>NC_000001.11:235123515-235275030 GCF_000001405.40 Homo sapiens | reverse complement strand
GCGCGTGCACACACACACACACACACACACACACACAAAATTAGGCCTAGTGTTGGATTTTCCTACTCTTACCATTGTGCCTGTTTTTAGTATGCATTTGATTTAGCACATGATAATCATAATTCAAAGATAAGTCTGCAGCAGACTTAACATTTATATATAGAGTGTTTTTAAGGCAGAAGGTATTATTTACCCTCTTTTTAGAAGTGGAGAAACTGAGAATCAGGGAGTAAAAATCAGTCAACTAATAGGTTGCAGATCGTAGCCATAGCTGAGTTGAGATATTCTTTACACAAATTATGGCCTTATTCTTCTATATCCTTTTACCTCTATGTGAGTGTATATCAAACTGGACTTCTCCGAAATTCTCTTTGGCCTAGTTTGCAAGTTCTCTGTGTAGAATAAAAAATTACATTTTTAATTGATTATTTTTATCAAGTAATACATGCAAATGACACTAAATTCAAAAGGTATATACTTTATTATTGTTTTATCTTGAGTTTCTTCCATTTCATTTCATACAGAGAGCTAAAAAGATTTAATATAAACATTTTCTGGGTCATTTGTACATCTGGATAGCAGAGAACTATTAGGTTGGTGCAAAAGTAATTGTGGTTTTGCAATTACTTTTATTTTTATTTATTTATTTATTATTTTTGAGTCGGAGTCTCACTGTCACCCAGGCTGGAGTGCAGTGGTGTAATCTCAGCTCACTGCAACCTCCACCTCCCGGGCTCAAGTGATTCTCTCTGCCTCAACCTCCCAAGTAGCCTCCCAAGCCACCACCACGCCCAGCTAATTTTTTTTTTTTGTATTTTAGTAGCTTTTTTGTATTTCACCATGTTGCCCAGAGTGGTCTTGAACTCTTGAGCTCAGGTGATCCACCTGCCTTGGCCTCCCAAAGTGCTGGGATTACAGGTGTGAGCCACTGTGCCTGGCATGCAATTACTTTTAATGGCAAAGACCACAATTAGTTTTGCACCAAACTAGTATAATTTCAGTTTCTGCAATTACTTTTTATGTTTTACAACCAGCGTTCATAGTGAGTAGTATTACTTCGCTTGTTGCAGGTTTGATTATAAAACAACGGAGATGGAGTTCACAGTAAGTGATATGTTCCTACATCATGAGGCAACATTGATCTCTCCAGC
This sequence comes from Homo sapiens, assembly GCF_000001405.40. NCBI lineage: Eukaryota > Metazoa > Chordata > Mammalia > Primates > Hominidae > Homo > Homo sapiens. The sequence goes on along the minus strand of NC_000001.11, from coordinate 235,273,879 downwards.
AAAGGTTTTGTACTAGTTTACATAGGGAAAAGTGGTGGGAGAATTGATTCGTTACACTGTGCTCAATATTAAAAGCATGCTAGTCCAAAGTAGTCTGTGCCATATTTGTGTTTTGAGTGTGTAGTTGTAGCAGAATATCATCCATCATATTGAATTAATGTTCTTACTTGAATTTCATTGATTTTGTTGGTTTGTGGAATTTAGTTTGCAGATTTGGTTTTATACTTGTACAGTTCCGTAAGAATAAATAATTCTTAGCTACTATATGACTACATTTTATCAGGTACAAGTATACATTTTCTACATTTTAACATCTCTGAAATCAGGATGCATTTAGCAGTCAATTGATGGTATATCGTAGTTTAATTGGCAGCTTTTTTCTTTTTTAGTGGTAGGTGTGGTTTACAATTAGTGACTTAAATTAGATGAAATATGGTAACTTTATGTTTGTATGAATTTCAGTAACATAAAAATAAACCATCATCTCTGTAAAGGAGAGATAATTTACTTTTTTTAAGTTTAAGAACAGCTGTGTAGGCTGAGTGCGGTGGCTCATGCTTGTAGTCCTAGCACTTTGGGAGGCCAAGGCTGGCGGATCATCTGAGGTCAGGAGTTCGAGACCAGCCTGGCCAACATGGTGAAAACTCGTCTCTATAAAAATACACACACATGAAATTAGCTGGGTGGGGTGGTGCACGCCTGTAGTCCCAGCTACTTGGAAGGCTGAGGCAGGAGAATCACTTGAACCTGGGAGGCAGAGGTTGCAGTGAGCCAAGATTGCGCCACTGCACTCTAGCCTGTAAATATAACTGCCAGGAACTTGAGATTTCAGAAAACATTTCTCCAGAGTATCTGGAAAATCACCTGGCTTACCCAAACAAAATTGCCACTTGTGGATATTTGCTACCAATGCCCCTATCATTCTTCTCTGTAGTCCTGTACTCATAAGCTTAGCTGCTTAGCTGCTCATACCTATTCTTGAACTGCTTCTGTCACTAATTTCTACGTGATCTGATTGTTAAGTACAAAATCTTCTTTAAAAAGAATGGTAATAATAAATTAATATAGACATTTATTTATATTGAGTGCTTATTACATGTGATTTTATGTGTAATAGGCCACATTGGTATTGTATGTATTTAATATGTAATTTATATTTAATTATAATATGTAATAAATGTATAATATAAAAGTGAACATATGTTTTATTAGTATGATAAACTACACTTTACAAATGTGAAGCTATGCTCAGATAAGTTAAATAATTTTTCCCAAGGATGATGGATCTAGTAAGTTATGAACCTAAAGTTTGATCTCAGATATTGATTCCATAGCTCATGCTTTTTCACCTGTTTATATAAGACGCTTCTGATTATAAGGTATTTTTGAAATATAAATAATATTCAACTTAAGAGGAATCTCATTTAGCAGGGCTTAACTAATGTCTAATCTTTTTTGTGTTAACAATTATCTCATGAATTTCTTCTATATGTAGGTGCTATTCTAGGACCAGGGCATTCATAGGTGAATAAGACACTATTTCTATCTTAAGTAGCTCAGTCTAGAGGACAGATAGGAATCATTAAAATATGGTATAAAATGGTCACTTTTGCAAAATGTTGGTATATTTGGGAAAAGGAAAGTCAGTATATAGTGTTACATCAATGAGTATTTAGCATAAGTTACCAAAGGGCTTACTACAGTAATATTCTGAATCTAGAATGAATTTTGTGACTTAGTGTTTAATACATGTTGTGTGGGTCCGTTTCTTTTGGTCACTAGACAAGTAATTGATAGGTTTTCAAGTGATTAAAGATTGATGTTTCTTGTTGATGACGTCTTTCAAAATCATATTCTTGAGGATATGAAACACGATTAAAAACTTGGTTGGTGGGGATTATTATTATTATTTATTATTATTATTACTTTTTGAGATGGAGTCTCGCTCTGTTGCCCAGGTTGGAGTGCAGTGGCGTGATCTCGGCTCACTGCAACCTCCACCTCCTGGGTTTAAGTGATTCTCGTGACTCAACCCGTGAGTAGCTGGCATTACAGGTGCCTGCCACCATGGCCAGCTAATTTTTTTTATTTTTATTAGAGACAGGGTTTCACTATGTTGGTCAGGCTGGTCTCAAACTCCTTACCTCAGGTGATCTGCCCACCTTGGCCTCCCAAAGTGTTGGGATTACAGGTGTGAGCCACCGTGCCTGGCTGGATTATTATTATTATTTATTTTATTTTATTTTTTTGAAACAGAGTTTCACTTTTGTTGCCCAGGCTGGAGTGCAGTGGTGCAAACTCGGCTCACTGCAATCTCCGCCTCCCGAGTCCAAGTGATACTCCTGCCTCAGCCTCCCAAGTAGCTGGGATTACAGGTGCCTACCACCATGCCTGGCTAATTTTTGTATTTTTAGTAGAGACTGGGTTTCACCATGTTGGCCAGGCTGGACTCGAACTCCTGACTGCAGATGATCCGCCTGTCTCAGCCTCCCAAAGTGTTGTGATTACAGGTGTGAGCCATGGCATCCGACCTATCATTTTTTTAGCTTGGTCATCCAGGCTGGAGTGCAGTGATATAGTCACTGCGGCCACAACCTCCTGGGCTCAAGCAGTTCTCCCACCTCAGCCTCCTTAGTAGCTGGGACCATAAGTGTTCACCACCTCTTCTGGCTTATTTTTCAAAATTATTTGTAGAGATGAAGTCTCGCTATGTTGCCCAGGCTCGTCTCAAACTCCTGGGCTCAAGTGATCCTCCTGCCTTGGTCTCCCGAAGTGCTGGGATTACAGGACTGGCCCAGTAGGGATTTTAAGGATTTTTTTTTTTAAATCAAACTCTTTTAAATGTTCTCCAGATGCTGTCTTTAGTGACTTGTTATACTAAAAAATGTTCTACTTATTGCCTTCTAATCCATGCCAGTAGTTATTACTAACATGCCCAGATACATTAAACCATAACAATGCCAGTTTCTGTTTCTGTTTGTATTCTGAATTTTGAACTGCCTGAATCCTCCACTAGGCTCCTCTAATTTCCAGATCATGAAAGTTTATGTTCTGAGAGTGCTGTTACTCCAAAGAAGATTCATTTGCATTTGAATATGATTGTGACCTCACTAGCAAGATGACAAATAACCTCTTCTCAAGGCAGAGTAGATTGGCTGTGTTACATGAGAAAGCTCCTTTGCTTTTTTGATACTTAGAACAGTGCCTTAAGTATAGTTGGCTTTTAATAATGTCTCTCCCAATTTCTCTCTTGCCTGTTTGCCGAGGCAGAAAATTCTAGTTAGAATATTTCTTTGGAGTTACTTAAATTTCCAGGAATATGCAGATACTCTTCTGTTAATATTTGTGACTATGCAGATATCCCTCTGGTTTATGAGATGTGGATCTAAAATTTACTTATAACCTAAAGTAGCTTAGGTTTTGTCTCCTAAAGTAGCTTAAATTTTAAGAAGATACACAGTGGGGCCATGTAAAAAACCAAAAATAAACTTTAAAAAATTGTAAGAAGAATATTAAGAAATATAGATAACATCCAAAGATTTTCGTGTTTTGGGAAGGGGTTGAGTTTTTTTGTTTTGTTTTGTTTTTTGTTTTTTTGAGACGGAGTCTCTCTCTGTCGCCCGGGCTGGAGTCCAGTGGCATGATCTCGGCTCACTGCAAGCACCACCTCCTGGGTTCACACCATTCTCCTGCCTCAGCCTCCTGAGTGGCTGGGACTACAGGCGCCTGTCATGACGCCCGGCTAATTTTTTGTATGTTTAGTAGAGACGGGGTTTCACCGTGTTAGCCAAGATGGTCTCGATCTCCTGACCTTGTGATCTGTCCGCCTCGGCCTCCCAAAATGCTTGGATTACAGGCGTGAGGCACCGCGCCCGGCTGGCGTTGAGTTTTAAAATATGCAGTAACTCTTACAATCCAGCAAAAAAAACAGACAAACAAAAAACAAAAACAAAAATGAGCAATTCAGAAAGATGGGTAAATAATATAAATAGATAATTAATAGAAAAATATGCAAATGCCCAATAAATATATATTACTTTACAAAATAATTTATTTTCAAATAATTCCAAATTTGCTGTATAAATAGTTCATGTAATCTCCTTCACCAGACTGGCCAGTTGTTAACATTCGATGTCATTTGCTCTATATCTAATTTATCTTTTTCTCTGTGTGTGTGTATACACAGAGAGAGATATATACACAGATTTGTATGTGTGTGTATATATATGTGTGTATATATACACATATATATTGTATACATATATGTGTACATATGTATGTACTCATTATCATTACGTTCAAACTTTTTAAGAGCAAGCTTAAAACACAATGTTCTGTCACCCATTGTACTCCAGTGTGTAATTCCTGATAAATAGAACAGAATAACTTCAACTTCGGTCTGTCTACTTTTTCTCATTTCCAGTTACTCTTGGCAGATATACCACAGAAAGTTGCTCTTTTGATATTACAGTGCAAAACGTTGCACAATTACACCACTAAAAATAATTCAGTAGTATTCAAAGATGATGTGAATATTCTGTTCATCAAACCACCTGTCAGCTTAGCATCTTTTGATAGCTCTCTGAATCAGCCACCTTTATGATGGTTGCCAAACGCTGATTCTCTGTCAGTTCTGTTACAGTTATTAACATTTTAGTATAAGGAAAAGCTTTATCTTTTCTACATTTTAAAACATTCATTCATTCATTCTTGTCAATATGGACTCACGGATTTCATTTTTACTGAATGCATTGTAATTTGTTACCAACTTTTTAAAGTGAGATATAATTAATTTACTGTGGAATACACAGATCTTAAGTTGATCAGTTTGACATACATATATATCCCTAAGGAGATAATAGCACAAATAATATTTATTTTAATGCTCAAACTTTCCCCCATTTGACCAGTAAGAGGAAAACCCCTTCAAGATGCTTCCTGTGTCTGTTTGAAATGTCCCTATCATTAATCGCACCATTTCTTTACTTTCTGACACAAGATGTTTCAGATTCTTCTTGTGCTTTTCTCTGTCCAACCTTGAAATCAACCATTTTTCTAAGGATCCTAATTCCTTATAATGGAGAGAGTTATTTAGAAATCAAGACGTGGGCCGAGGCGGGTGGATCACGAAGTCGGGAGTTTGAGACCAGCCTGACCAACATGGTGAAATCCCGTCTCTACTAATTAGCTGGACATGGTGGCGAGCGCCTGTAATCCCAGCTACTTGGGAGGCTGGGGCAGGAGAATTGCTTGAACCTGGGAGGCAGAGGTTACAGTGAGCCGATATCACACCATTGCACTCCAGCCTGGGCAACAGAGCAAGACTCCATCTCAATTAAAAATAAATAAATAAATCAAGATGTAGGCTATTGCTGTTTGTTGTTGTTGTTACTGGGCTGTCTTTTGGTTGCTCTTAGTACTTTCTTTTTGGACAGAGCTAGGAAAATATAGGGACACACACGCACACCTAGAAGTACTTGTTTATTTTTCTGTGTGTGTGTGTGTGTGTATGTATATATACACATATATATATATTATACAATCATGAATTCAAACCAAATTTCCAATTCCAGTCCAATATTTAGACTTCTCTGTAGTCTGCTCCCTTCCTTCCATTTTAACTTCTTTGGAGTGAAAAACATGGCCCCCACTATATTCAGTGTATTTACTTATTTGATTAGTCCATTTACTTATTTGGTCCGGGTAATGGATCTTCCAGCCTTGCAGCTTATCTCCTCTGTCCCTATTCAGCTCTCATCCATGTCCTCCGCCACAGGACTGCACCTCCATGTGGTTCCCCCAGGCCTCCTCTTCACTGCCTTGTATATTCAGCTTCTGTCCTTGTGCCTATTCAACCCTTACCCCTTCACAAATCCATGTCCTTAGTGCCACATGAAAAAGGAGAGAAGAAATGGCCCCAGAGAATATTTTGAAGTTATATTGCATGGTTTTCTTTTCTTTTCTTTTCTTTTTTTTTTTGAGACGTAGTCTCACGTCACTCAGGTTGGAGTGCAGTGACTCGATCTCGGCTCACTGCAAGCTCCGCCTCCCAGGTTCATGCCATTCTCCTGCCTCAGCCTCCCGAGTAGCTGGGCCTACAGGTGCCCACCACCATGCCCGGCTACTTTTTTGTATTTTTAGTAGAGACGGGGTTTCACCTTGTTAGCCTACAGGCACCCGCCACCACACCCGGCTAATTTTTTATATTTTTAGTAGAGACGGGGTTTCACCGGGTTAGCCAGGATGGTCTCCATCTCCTGACCTCGTGATCCACCCGCCTCGGCCTCCCAGAGTGCTGGGATTACAGGCGTGAGCCACCACACCTGGCCATGGTTTTCTTCATTTCCTCGATGTATTCATTTTTTTTATATTCCCTCCCACCAAATTGTGCATTTTAAGCTTGGTTTTTAAATGGTACACTGTTTGGTATATAAATGCAAGTATATTTTGTTCATTCATCTTTTGGAATTATCTCCATTATTTTAATAGTTCATTGGGATTGCTATATATAAAATAGGCTGTTTTCATAGATTTATTGTCACGTGGTTTGTGTTTAAGTACATTTATTAATGATGGTTTTTTGTTTTGTTTTGTTTTGTTTTTTGACAGAGCCTTGCTCTGTCAACCCGGCTGGAGTGCCGTGTTGCAGTCATGGCTCACTGCAGCCTCCATTTCCTGAGCTCTAGCGATCCTCCCGCCTCAGCCTCCTTAGTAGTTGGGACCATACGTGCATGCCACTATGCCTGGCTAATTTTTGTATTTCTGGTAGAGACGGGGTTTCACCCTGTTACCCAAGCTGGTCTTGAACTCCTGAGCTCAAACAATCTACACACCTCGGGCTCCCAAAGTGCTGGGATTGTAGGTGTGAGCCATTGCACCCAGCCTACTGATGGTTTTTATGATCAAATTTAATACTCTTGTTTTCTGATTCTTCTGGCTACATTGGCACTGTAACCAATTTGAATCCCTCACTTTTTAAAATAAACTACCTCAATAAAATGTCATCTAGCATGTTTTGCTTTTTAAAAACCATCTCGAATAATTGAGTATTTCCTAGTCAGTGTCTGTGTTAGCCAGCCATTTGAAGATTTGATTTAACTATTGTCTTTCTAAAACTTAATTTATGTATTTGATGTGCTGCAGCCCAGAGACACATTAGAGATTACTGTTGATTCATTTGTGCACTTCTGTGCTTCCTTGGCATTTTGGCATCTTGAAGGATTATTATCCACTAATAGCTAATTTTAAAATTGCTTATGCTTTTTAGTGTTCCCATGGAATTCAGTGTTTTTTAGGTGCCACTTAGGACATTTCGTAGACTGGCTAGGAAAATAATTATTTAAGCAATGCTGGAAAACTGTGAGGTAGCTGTTGCCTTGACAACCAGAAAACTGTTCTGTTTGCTCAACAAAGGGATGGTAATTTAGTAGTTTAATTTCCTTTTTGGCATGGAGGTGCTACATAAAAACATCTTATTTTAGCCTCTGAGATGATCCATACTACTGATCAGAATTAGAGAAGCAGAGCAAAAAGAAAAGGCAAGAGTTTTTTTTTCTGGCTACGTATAGATAGACATGCATATTTATCAGGGTTGGTGTTGGTCAAAAGAATCTTAGTTAACCTGCTGACATAATCTTTTTTATGTCTCTAAATTGGACCAAAGTAAATTAACCTCAAAATACTGGTGCAATCTTGGTACACTAAGGGGTCGTGATACACTTTTATTATGGAGCATCCCCACAAAGATTTAAGATTCTCTTGCCGCTGGAATTCAACATGATTACTTCATGTCTGGATTGAATAAGGGAGAAAATATTTTAAAGGAACCCCTCTTCCCCACGTATATACACAATTACATTGGCATCTGCTCTATTTATGTGGGAATTTTTTTTATGACTTAACCCATTTGTATATAGACTTAAACATTTTTTTTTAAAAAACAATTGCCTCCCAGGTTGTAAAGTAAAAATAATAGCCTTTATTTGGCAATGTGTGCTGGGCCCTCTTCTAAGCATTTTGTGTGCACCGTCTTACTCCTCATCCTTGTGACAGAACTGTTATTGTATGCTGAGGCACTTAGCTAAGTGGCTTAGCCCAAGGTCACCTCACTACTAAGGGATAGATTTGAAGCTAGGCATCTAGTTTAGGAACATATACCCTTTTTTTTCTTTTCTTTTTTTTTTGAGACAAGGTCTCAGTGTCGCCCAGGTTAGAGTGCGGTGGCGCGATCTCTGCTCACTGCAACCTCAGTCTCTCAGGCTGAAGTGGTCCTCCCACCTTAGCCTCCCTCATAGCCAGGACTACAAGCAGGTGCCACCATGCTTGGCTAATTTTTGTATTTTTAGTAGAAACAGGGTTTTGCCATGTTGCCCAGTCTGGTTTTGAACTCCTGGGCTCAAGCAGTCCGCCCACTTAGGCTTCCTAAAGTGCTGGGATTACAGGTGTGAGCCACTGTGCTTGGCTTGGGAACCTATACTCTTAATTACTGTATTATACTGACTTTTTTTTTTTTTTGAAATGGAGTCTCACAGTGTCGCCTGGGCTGGAGTGCAATGGCACAATCTTGACTCACTGCAACCTCTACCTCCCAGGTTCAAGTGATTCTCCTGCTTTAGCCTCCCGAGTAGCTGGGATTACAGGCGCCCGCCACCACACCTGGCTAATGTTTTGTATTTTTAGTAGAGAGGGGGTTTTCACCATGTTGGCCAGGCTGGTCTCGAATGCCTGACCTCGTGATCCACCTGCCTCAGCCTCCCAAAGTGCTGGGATTATTATAGGCATGAGCCACCGTGCCCAGCCGAAAACTTTTTTTTTTTTTTGAGACGAAGTTTCACTCTTGTTGCCCAGGCTGGAGTGCAACGGCATGATCTCGGCTCACTGCAACCTCCGCCTCCTGAGATCAAGCGATTCTTCTGCCTCAGCCTCCCGTGTAGCTGGGATTACAGGCGCCCGCCACCATGCCTGGCTAATTTTTTATATTTTAAGTAGAGATGGGGTTTCACCATGTTGACCAGGCTTGTCTCGAACTCCTGACCTTCAGGTAATCCACCCGCCTTGGCCTCCCAAAGTGCTGGGATTACAGGCATGAGCCACCTTGCCCAGCCAAAATGTGGTTTTGCCCCTCGAATATTAAGAAGAAATAAGGAAGGGAACCAAATCTGAATTACTATTGATAAAATGACTTGTTTGTCCACATCAAGTGTTTCATAATATTAATTATAACTTCCTAGCTGACTACCTCAGACATCACAATGGAGTGCTTTCTAATATTGACTCTGTTTTTTTGATGTGGCAGCTGAAGCTTAGAGAGGTGAGAGGTTCAGTAGCCTACAAAAACTCATCTAGTTGGTGTAAGGAGTAGAGCTTGGATTAGGACCTTGCCTCTCTGCTTTCAAAGCCTGTGCTATTAATCAGTCTGCTCTATTACCTCATGTTAAAGTAATGATAGAGTGATACCTTATGCCCAGCTAAAATTACATACTCAAATCTGACCACCTCAGTTATGGATTTGATTTGGGTTTCTGTGTAAAGTCTCATTCATATTTTGGTTGGCATTGAAAAATAGTTTGACAGTTTCATTCTAGATGATTATATATGTCTCAAAACTTGCCGTTCTGACCACCTTTGTAATGCCAGTGCTTTGATATAGGCTTGCTAAACAATTATGTGTAAGATTCAAATTATTGTGCTGAATGAGAATTTAGGAACAGAAAAGTAACTTACCTGAGATAATGTATAATAAATAGAGGTGGCAGCAGTAAGATCAGAACACAGATCACTGCTTTTTCTGTGCTCTTTCTAACGAATTAACACTGCTCTGATGATGTGTTTCAGTTTTAGCAGCTTTTATTAGACTTTGGTTTCCTTCTGCAAGTCTTTTTTTTTTGAGATGGAGTCTCGCTCTGTCACCCAGGCTGGAGTGCAGTGGCACGATCTTGGCTCACTGCAAGCCCCGCCTCCCAGGTTCACGCCATTCTCCTGCCTCAGCCTCCTGAGTAGCTAGGACTACAGGTGTGCGCCACCACGCCCAGCTATTTTTTTGTATTTTTTTTTTTTAGTAGAGACGGGGTTTCACCGTGTTAGCCAGGATGGTTTTGATCTCCTGACCTCGTGATCCGCCCGCCTCAGCCTCCCAAAGTGGTGGGATTACAGGTGTGAGTCCCGCGCCCAGCCCTCCTTCTGCAAGTCTTTCTAAAGGCATTTTCTTTATATGCCTTGTAATTCCTTTTCCTGTGTTCTAGCATGAAGGAAAGAAAATATTGCCCTTCAAAAGAATAGTTTGCCCCACAATAATTTGAAGTAATAAATACCCTTCTCCCGTCAACACGGATTTTTATATTGTTGAAGATGTGGGATGGGCTTAATTTGGGGGCGGAGGGAGTCCCCTTTCTCAAATTCAGCTTTAATAAATATGCCCAATAAGCAAATCTGCAGTTTGCTGTAGTTGAAATGTTGCTAGTGTCTGTGAATGTTAATGAAAAGAATACGCAAATGGGTTTCTGAATACTAATAGTCTAAAGATGTTAGTATTCTATACCCTATTTTTGTTAAGAATTATCTATTAAAAATTTAAAAGTGTATCAATTCCTAAATTTTTATATGTTCCTCAGTAGGTACAAATATGCAACTTTTAGTTGATTTATTGTTCTCTTCTATGTTTCATAATTTTAGTTGCCTCATCAGTTTTAATTTATTTTTAACTATACTGTTTGTCTCTGAAAATAAAATTTTACTGGCTAGTATGGCAGAATGTGTTAATAGAGGAGGTTGCAAATTGTGGAAAGTTATGAGCCTGTGGTCATGAAGACTGCCCTGCCATTTGGGTTTTTATAGCAGTAATACCCAGTACCAATTGAACCACAAAGTGAACTGAAATTTCCTTAAATTGTTTCTCTCTCTATAAAACATTTAAAAAAAATTTAATTGATGAGTAAAGCTTGAATATATTCAGTATGTGCAACATGATGAATTGATGTACATTTTATGATTACCACAGTTAAATTAACAAACACATTCATTATCACTTGTGCTGTACATTATATTCCCATCCTTATGATAAAAATTTTTTTTTAATTAATTGAGATAGGATCTTGCTGTGTTGCTTGGGCTGATCTTGAACTCCTGAGCTCAAGCAGTCCTGCTTCGGCCTCCCAAATTGCTGGGATTACAGGTGTGAGCCACAATGCGTGGCCATTTTTATGATTTTGGAGCGAAGTGGTGTGAGTCCCTTTTCATATTATTGCTTAAATAAAGCCACTAGTATGCCTGGAATGTAACCATAATTTTGGCCAGGGAAAATGATATTTTAAGAGACCTAAGGCAGGTAGGTAAAGTAGAAATGCATTTATTCACTAGGTACAACAGCAATGTAAAGTTATCAAGTTGTAGTTAATAATATAAAAAAATTAGAAAGTATTAGTGCAGAAATGATTATCTTTCTGTAAGGGTATATTCCCATTATGGTATAAATGAACTGATGAATAGGCATTTTCCTAAGTTGATTTTAAAAATTGTATAACTGATATGTTTTGAGTTTACTTTTTATGAAATACATGGAATGTGAAGCAGGTGGCCATTATGGAGGTCTGATATAATTGTGGGCACTCCTGTTATAGCACTAGAATATTGTTTTTTTCCCTTTTTCTTTGGGAAATAGATTACTCTGTATGATAGCTACAACTTTTAGGGGAGAATTTATTTTAAAATCTAAATGAAATTATTCTTTCATTATTTATTACTCGTAACAGCATTTCTCACTTTATATTCTATGGGATTTCTGTAGGATGTTAATAGATGTCAATAGAAAAGAAAGGGTTCTTTGGACAAATAGATTGGGAAATGTTGAGTTAAAATGTAATCATTTTCTCTATTATAGGGTTTCTCAGATCTTTTAGCTTACATTTATGAATCTCCAAAGTTGAGGCAGAGAAGTAATTCATTCAATATAGTGAATTTCCCCCAACTCCTGCCTCCTTTCCTTTTGGTGGAACGTCCTGGGATGTTAGTACTTTTTATAAAGCACTTTGGAAAAAGCTTACTTCCATGATTTTCCTTTGGCTATGGAATTACTATAAGCAGAAGAACTCCTTAGAAATAAAAATGTAGAAATGTACCTGAATGTAAAACGTAAGAGCAGCTATTAAAAACTAAATCACAACTGAGGAAACATAAATATTAGTTAAGGTAGAAGAGTAAATATCCAGCGAATCCCTCCTATTAAAGCATTTAAGATATTTTGGCTTCAAAGTTTTGAGACTTTCCAGATGACTTTCTTCATATAGTTTTCACTAGTAGTTTAAATATACTAACTTTTCTCCCTTGTATGCTATACTACATTCTTTTTTGTTTGCTTTTTTGAGACAGGGTCTTACTCTGTGGCCCAGGCTAGAGTTCAGTGGCACGATCACTTTTCACTCGAGTCTCGACCTCTTGGGCTCAAGCACTCCTCCCACTTCAGTCTCCCAAGTAGCTAGGAGTACAGGCGCATGGCACCATAGCCAGCCAGTTTTTATTTTTTTATTTTGTAGAGTTGAGTTTTCCCTATGTTGCTTGGGGTGGTCTCAAACTCCTGGGCTCAAGTGATCCTCCAGCCTTGGCCTTCCAAAGTTCTGGGATTATAGGCAGGAACCACCACACCAGGCACTACACTAAACTACCTTAGACTTTTCTAGATAGAGATATAACAGAGCTATTCTGAATCTGGGTGACTGCCAAGATACAGCCTAAATATTAGAAGATTTCCCCCCCACCCCAGAATTTGAGCTTTAAAGATCTGCCTTCTGGCCAACGGACCCTTTTCTTGTAAGTGGTCATAGAATAAATAAATATTTGAATGAATGAGTGACTAGAGGGGTATACTTGTGAGTGAGCTAATTCATATCATGGACCATATGTATTTAATGGAAATAAGATACCTTTATATTTTATGTGATGTACATTTAAATAGTCTTTATGATAAACATTTTACTTGTTTTTTAATTTATAGTATTTTATAGATTGGTCTTGTTAACATACATTTCATATTTATAACTGTTGTAGCTTAACAAGATTAGGCTCACTATTCTGAGGTCTGATTATGGGAAAGAATTAGAGAGTTTAAATCTAATTATATTTCTTTGCATTTTTAGGCCCTTGATGAGCCTCCCTATTTGACAGTGGGCACTGATGTGAGTGCTAAATACAGAGGAGCCTTTTGTGAAGCCAAGATCAAGACAGCAAAAAGACTTGTCAAAGTCAAGGTACAGTATTTATAGATTTCATAAATTGTATGTTCAGCATTTGATATGTAAACTTTTATTTGGTGAGTGTATTTAAGATTTTTCTGCAAAATAAGTTTCTAGGAGTGAAGGTTGTAAAAATACCTCAAAACAAAGCATTTTTTGTTATTTTAAAAGTATTATAATTGGAAAGAAATTAGATTATCACAGTTGGTATTTTGAATGCCATTTCACTATAGACGTCTTATTGTTTGTATAGTGTTTTAGAGCTGGAAAGGAAGTTAGAAGTCATCTAGTTTAATTGCTTCATTTTATTACAAGAAAAATGAGGCTCGGAGAGGGTTAGTGATTTCTCCAAGGCCATTATGCCAAATTCATGGCAGAATTGGAACTACCATAGTTCATCAATTTTAAGGCATCACCCCCTCTATTTCAGCCATAAAATTAGAATGTGACTTGTAATTGATGGTGCCTTAGATAACAGTGAAATAAGGTACATCTAGTTGTTGACTCCTTATGCTCTGCCTTTCTTGAAACATCTTTCTAAAGTACTTGAGTTTTGTCTTAATATAGAAAAAGGAGTGTAATTGCTTCCATTTTAATAAATTATCAGCACTGAAAAATACCAGACAAGTGAACTTGAATATAGACATTTATTCATTTGTCAATAATTTATTGAGTGACAAACCTTTTGCAGGGAACTTTTAGGTGGGAAGGAGGATGGGGATATTAGGATGAGATTGACCTGATCTGTCCTCAAGGAATTTATAATCTAGATTAGCAGATACCTTTTAAGCCATTGGTTTTTATTTCACCAATTACATAGACTGTAGAGGTGTTGTGCTTCTGTGGAGGGTATCAGTCTCTTCTGGAGCTTTTACTGTTCCTATATTCCTTATGCATGGATGTGTTGAAAAAGCTACCTGGGTGATTCTAATTTACACTCCTGGTTAGGAACCATTGTGATAAGTCCTTTAAATTAACTACAAACTGGTAGGGGGCTAGTCTTGGCCCCACCCTACCTTCAGTTTCCACATGCTTGGTGGTTGGTGCTTTTATAGTGTGCATTTCCTGTTCTGGCTTCACACACTGGTATTCCCCAAGCACTGTTTTTTGCCAGTACTATCCTGTAGAGGAAGAGAAAGCCTTTTATCAATGTTTGTACTTTTTCAGGACTACTGGTAGCACATGTATCACCTTTGTGTGAAGTAGACAAAAGCCCTCTCTCCTGGTGGAAAGCCTTCTTAGCAGCGCTTGGCATGCAGATAGCAAGTTTGTGCCAGTTGGAAAAGACATTCTCTTTGGACTGGAGCTGTGTCACTCCAGGACCCATGCTTTGGCCCACAAAGCAAAGGCTGGATTTAAGCCCCATCTTGCATCCTTAGCTGCACATTTCCTGTGTAATGAATGAACTAGGAAAATGACATGTAGCAGTCCTGCCATTTCTTGCTGTAAATGAAAGGAACAAAACTCTTACTGGACTCTACTGCCTCTATTGATAGCACAGAGTACCTTGTGCTTTATAAGTAATGAATATCTAAAGCTTATTTTTAATTTTTTCGGCTGCCCTAAAAATTTGTTTCTGTGGAGGTGATGTCCATTAAAACACATACACAAGGAAAAAGAAAGTGTATTTCATTCAGTGATTTTGTCAGTAGATATAGGGATATATTTTTTAACATGTGTAATTTCTTTATGATTCAAAGTTAATATATTTTTAACAAATTTGTTGATATGTTTTCACTACCTGTTTTCATTTGTTGAACATTTACTATGTGCTAAGCTCTATCTAAAGGTGAAACTCTAGTGTTAAGACCTAGTCTCCATCTGTAAGTAGCTTATAGTTTAAGTGAAGGGCACAGATATCTAAACATGTGATTTAAATAAAAAGTGTGATAATGCTTTTGTATGACACAGAAATGCCTGGGATGCTGTGGGTATAAGGCATCTCCTTTCATAGCTGGTTTTTGAGTGGGCCTGCCTGTTACCTAAAATAATTATCACATATACCTGATAAAGACCATGTTAATGATTCAATCCCTATAAGAACTCTTTTCCCTTGTTAGAGAAAACAATTGTTTTCTATACTGAGTAGTGGAAGCTATCTTGTTTTTCACCAGCTAATTAAGTATTTAAATTTGAACTCATTATTTTAACTTACTCTTTTCACCTCTGGTTTCCCATTCTCTGATTTCTGTAATGATATAGAGCACAGTAAAGTTCTGGAACTAGACTGCCTACATTTAAATATCAGCTCCACCATGTCTAGCTCTGTAAACTTGGACCAGGTACTTACACTTTCTGTTTTTTGTTTTGTTTTGTTTTGCTTTTGAGACGGAGTCTTGCCCTGTCCCCCAGGCTGGAGTGCAGTGACGCAATCTCGGCTCACTGCAACCTCCACCTCCCTGGTTCAAGTGATTCTCCTGCCTAAGCCTCCGGAGTAGCTGGGATTAACAGGCATGCGCCACCATGCCTGGGTAATTTTTGTATTTTTAATAGAGATGGGGCTTCACCATGTTAACCAGGCTGGTCCCATCTCCTGATCTCAGGTGATCCACCTGCTTCGGCCTTCCAAAGTGCTGGGATTACAGGGATGAGCCACCGCACCTGGCCTGTTTCTCAGTTTTCTTATCAACAAAATGGGAACAGTCATACCTACCTAATAGGGTTGTTGTGAAGATTAAATGTTTGGTACTAGAGACTGATGCTCAGATCTCAGTTAAGTGTTTGCTGCTACTGTTTATTATTAAGGTAGGCCTTCACAAAATGATATAATACCTAATAGCCTAAAATCCCCATATCTTTCTTTCTCATTTTTTAGGAAAAGCAATTTTACAACTAAATTCATAACTGATAGTATTGAAATAAAGGATGATATGTGGGACCAGGCGTGGTGACTCACACCTGTAATCCCAGCACTCTGGTAGGTCAAGGCGGGCGGATCACTTGAGGTTGGGAGTTTGAGACCAGCCTGGCCAATGTGTTGAAACCCCATCTCTATTAGAAATACAAAAATTAGTTGGCCTGGTGGTAGGTGCCTGTAATCCTAACTACTTGAAAGACTGAGGCAGGAGAATCACTTGAACCCTGAGGTGGAGGTTGCAGTGAGCCAAGATTGCGCTACTGCACTCCAACCTGGGCGACAGAGTGAGACTGTGTATCAAAAAAGAAAAAAGTTAAAAAAAAAAAAAATGACATGTGGAACATCTAGTAATTTAGATGTGCTATCATTGATTACTTTTATTTTTGAAAACAGATACGGTCTGAGCAGTTGTCTGTAAATAATTTTTTAGTTAATCTACTTAGGGATTGGGATGTTGTATAAACTAGGCAGCTATTATTTTATATTTCTTTTACTACAAATGAATAATTGGTGCATTGATGAGCTTGTGTTGCTTGGTTTATTTTTGGTGGCTAATTAAACTTATAATCTCTAGGTGACATTTAGACATGATTCTTCAACAGTGGAAGTTCAGGATGACCACATAAAGGGCCCACTAAAGGTAATTCATGTATTCATTGTTAATTCTAATGGTTGTTTGGGAAAAAATAATCATACTTGGTATTAATTCATTGGCTCTTTTGTTATTGAGTTGATAAATTCAATATGTAATTTTCTCTAAAAAGACTAATAGAAAAAATAGACTTAATCTCAGTGACTAAGGAGGCTGAGGCAGGAGGATAGCTTGAGGCCAGGAGTTCAAGGTTGCAATAAGTTATGATTGTGTACACTGCACTTGGGGACAGCATGAGATGCTGTCTTTTAAAAAAAAGATTTAATATTAAATAATACTTGATATGGTAGTAAAACCAGTTTATTCAGAAATAAAATGAGTATCAAAGAAGCATTGACTACATTTATTTACTTAATCCACCATATTTCCATTACTAAAATGATGGATTTTCCAAAATTAATAGATGATGAACTAGGGATTAGTGATGTCAGTTCCACGATGATCTGAAAAGTGAGAAAGTTAGAAAACCAAAAAAATCGGAGCTCTTACTTCTTTGGAGCCACTACTGGCAAATGAAATCTTTTAAGGGTCATCAGCCTTTACACTAACAGTTGGAGAGTTTTATTTCTTTGCATTCATTTTTCCTCATTGGCAAGTGAAATAAATGCTGCTTTGCTTTTTGCCAGTGAGCAAGCTAAAAGAGAATGTGTGGGTAAACCACTATGTGCTCTTTGGCTGGTTTAGGGCCAAAAGGAAACCCCAGAGCAATTTTTAAATTGTCCCTATCCTTCCTGAGGTTCCTTGAAAGAAGAGTGGAAATACGGGGCAAGGACAGTCAGTTTCACAGATGGTGGTACTCACGGTGTAGTCTACTGACCCTGGGGGTTCCCAGGATTCTTTTGGCGGGGGTTGTAAGGGTAAAACTTTATAATAGTACTTAGGTATTATTTGCCTTTTTTACTACATTAACATTTTCACTGATGGTACAAAAATATTGATCGGTAAAACTGCTGGCACTTTTTTTTTTTTTTTTTGAGGCAGAGTCTTGCTCTGTCACCCAGGCTGGAGTGCAGTGGCGCGATCTCGGCTCACTGCAACCTCCACCTCCCAGGCTCAAGCAATTCTCCTGGCTCAGCCTCCCGAGTAGCTGGGATTACAGGCGCCTGCCACCACGCCTGCCCAATTTTTGTACTTTTGGTAGAGACGGGGTTTCACCATGTTGGCCAGGCTGGTCTCGAACTCCTGACCTCAAGTGATCCACCTGCCTCAGCCCCTCAAAGTGCTGGGATTGCAGGCGTGAGCCACTGTGCTCACGCCAACTGCTGGTACTTTTAAATGAAGTCAATAGTCATTTTATTCTTCACCATCATGCACTCAGTTAAAAGAAAACAAACCCAGGTTTTGGTTTGTTAATTTACCTTTTAAAAGTTTTTCTAACATGTTTAAAAATACTTTAGGTAGGAGCTATTGTGGAAGTGAAGAATCTTGATGGTGCATATCAGGAAGCTGTTATCAATAAACTAACAGATGCGAGTTGGTACACTGTAGGTAAGAAAATAAATTTTCTTTTAAAAATGTGTTTTTAGTTACACAAAGAAAACTTAATACAAATAAAATGAAATTTCCTGGATTCACTTCTTAATACCCTAGATATTATTACTGTTACTGGATTTTATCTTTCCACATCTTTTAAAAATTTATTTCCAAAGTATATGTATGTATATGTAACAAAAATTGAAATTATTTAATGTGTATATTATGCAATTGGAATTCTAGCTTTTTTTACTTCAAAGTATATCTTAGGTAAATTTCTTTTTTTCCCCAATCTTACCTATTTTTAAGTTTATAGTTCAGTAATGTTAAGGATATTCATGTTGTTTTATAATAGAAATGTCTTTTAACTGTGTATATATATATATAGAGAGAGAGAGAGAGAGATATATATCTATCTATCTATCTATCTATCTATCTATCTATCTATCTATCTAGCTCCCAGCAGGAAACAAAGTAGTAGTGTATTTTATAATAGTTGATGTGCTAGTTTATTTTTTCTTACTGATGAGGTTTCCAGTTTTCTTACTATTACAATAAATGCTGGATTGAATGTCTTTTTTACCTAATTAGGTACTTAATTAGGATACCTACTGTATCCTAGTATTTCTTTAGTGTACATACTGAGAAATAGAGGTTGAAGAAAAATATACTCCAAAAACTTTAGTAGTTAATGAAAACTGCCTTCCTAAAAGACACTGTCTGTTTTCTCAATCCTTGTCAGATTTTATGTCATTTAAAAAAATTTTTTGCTAATTTGGACATAAAGTAGTATCTCAGTTTTGTTTCAGTATGCCCTTCCCATGATTACTAGTGAGATTGAACATCTTTTCATATGTTTATTGAAAGGAACATAATTTCATTTGTGTTTTCTCCGTTTTGAGTTGCTGGCTCTTTTATTCTTTCCCTTTTTCTCTTGAGATGATTTATCTTTTTCTTATTAGTTTTGGTATATGTGTTCTTTATATATTTTGGATATTAACTGTTTACTACTTCAGTTATAAATATATTTCTCCTGTTGCTTTATTCTTGTCTCTGCTTTTAATTTTCATGTAGTCAGTTTTTGTATGGTCACCTTTTATTTTGTAATTTTAGTTTTGAATCTTAAAGCCTTCCATCAGTGTTATAAATCTATTTTCTAATGTATTCTTCAAATTTTTTATACTTTTTAAATTTATTTTTATTTTTGTTTTACAAACAGATTTTTATTTCACCTACAGTAGTATGTATTTTTTCCAACATTCTAAAATAATGATTAAAAAGTATTTGTCCTAGATTGGTAGCCATTTATTCCAGTATTATTTATTAAAGGTAACAATTCTTACCATTTAATGACCTCAGAGATGAAAGTAAACACCTAGTAAAATGTCTTTCGTGATTTCAGAGTTTGATAGAACTTTCAGATAGAATAGGTGAGTTTTGTTTATACTTCTTTGGTGTGAGAATAAAACCTGGTGAAAATAGAGGGAAAATTATTTGATTTTGAGACATAAGGAAATATTTGACTTTATGTAAGTGAGAAGACTGTGAGCAATTCTATGTAGGAAGTCTAGATGGTGATTGGTTGTAATAGTCTACTAAATGTGACACTTATGTTGTATATTTTAGTTACATCATTTAAAGATGTACTGAAAATTATTTATCCAGTTTCACATAATGTAACTTGTTATGTAACGTATAAGAATCTAATTTTAGTTCAGCCAGTAAGGAAAGGGTATTGGCTTTCTTTTAACCATTAATCATTTCTCAATAAACGTGAGATCCTGTTGAGCATCAGAAAAAGAAAAGGAAAGAAGAGTATCTAATTTTAGTAGGTAGGCAGAAAATGTAATTTCTAAAATAGAGATCTGGTAACATTATTTAAAACAGAGTTACTGTCTTCCCATGATTTCTAAGGAATGTAGCATATCCCTAAATTATTTATGTATATCACAGATTTATGCATATAATACAAATAGTCATACATTCCATATCTGTTAACTTATGGTGGTTTTGCTGGGGTGCTTTAAGTACTTTATTTTTATTAAAATTTTTCCCCTACTTTATTGAGATATAATTGACAAAATCATATAAATGTATATGTAACATGATGATTTGATAGGCAAATATATTGTGAAGTAATTACTGCAGCCAAGTTGCTTAACACTTCCATCACCTTTTAATAGACATTTTAGTATTTTAAGTCGCTAGTTTTCAACTGGGATGAATTTACCCCCAGGGAACATTTGGCAATGCCTGGAGCTGGAGACATTTTAGGTTGTCACAGCTGGGAAGGGGGTGCTACTGACATCTAGTGGGTAGAGGCCAGGAGTGCTGCTAAATATCCTGCAGTGCACAGGACAAGCCTGCCACAACAGAGAATTTTCTGGTGCAGTATGTCACTAGTGACAGTGCTAAGGGTGAGAAACCCTACTTTAAATAATGAAAATACAGTTATTTTTTTAAAGGGGCAGTCTGATTGCATATACTTGTAATCTTTCTTAGGTAAATCTGTCAATATCTGTCAGTAGGAAAACTTGTCATTTCTTTACCATTTTGAGAAGAGTTAATTAGCATTTAAATGTTTTCCTCTTGAAATACCAACTTCTTATTTTTATTTGGTATATCCTGTTTTATACAAGATGTTTTCATTTCATATATGTTGTTTCTTTTTCACTAGAAATTGGAAAAGTTACTTTAATAACTCTATATTTGAAGTTACTCACTAGAAAACATAAAATGTGAATTGAATTCCAAATGTAGTCTTAAATAGTAGATCTGTTTGCACTCAGAAAATTGTAATACATGTCATCTCTTTGATCTTTGAAAAAATCCTTCAGTAGCTTCCATTTTTACCCCCTCTCATAGTTTTTGATGACGGAGATGAGAAGACACTGAGACGATCTTCACTGTGCCTGAAAGGAGAGAGGCATTTTGCTGAAAGTGAAGTAAGTCATCATTTAACAAATGAACATGTCTTAATATTTTTTATTGGGAGGAATAAATTTTTGCTTTCTCAACTCAGTAAACCTACTTCCTAATCAGGAAAGTTCATTAATACACAATACCCTTATGATGTAATCTGTGAAGCCTGTTTAAGGCCCTGTGTTTGAGCACCAGGTTCTGTCTTCTTTTTTGTCTATGTAAAGTGTTTCAGTATTTGTCCACAGAGAAAATACAATGGGCTTTAATTATTATCTTTAGGCAGTTTTTAAACAGACTTAAAATTTGTAAATAACTAGAAAACAGATTTCTGATTTGTAATCTACTTGATCCTTGTCGTAGTTAAAGGATGTGTAGATACAACAGTCTTTAACTACTGCTACTGCTATTAGCTGATATTATTATGCCCTTTCCTCTTGCCTGACTGCCCTTCCTAAAATTGTCCCTTCCATTCCTTATCATCCTTTCAGATTGATTTAGGTCTTATTCCCTAACATCAAAATATGAGTACATAATTATTTATTGTCTGCCTTCCTCACTAGAATGTGTCACACGGTCAGAGACTTTGTATATCTTCTTCATGGCTTTGTTCCTAGTTGCTGTAACAGTGCCTGATGCAGAGTATGAACTTCATAAGTGTTAGTTGGATGAATAGATGAGGTGCTTATAATTGCCAGGGATTTTGCTAAGTGCTTTACATACATTATTGTATTTGCAACATTATGAGGTAGTTACTATTATTATCCCCAACTTTCAGATTAGGAAATGGATAGCTAGAGCTGGTTTTCTAACCAGCACTTTCTAGCACCAAAGCCATATCCTTAAATTGAAAGATGTTACTAAGAGCAGAGGGTTCACAAAGTTTTGTAACTAACTCGCTTGCAATTCAGAATTTAAAAGGTAGATGTTGCTCTAAATGGTGTTACGTTCTCTAATCCAGTCTACAGATATTCATTGATACACAGTGTGGCCGAGCTATTTCTTTTCTCTACTCACTATTTGGAATAGTGTTTCTTTGGGGATATTTTAATATTACTAATTAATATTACTTATTTGTTATTATTTATTACTTTAATATTACTTTAATATTACTTATTTAGTAGTGTTATTACTTAAACACTATTTGGAATAGTGTTTCTTTGGGGATATTTTAATATTACTTATTAACCTATTAGACTTTATGTTTTTGTTTTGAAAAATTTTTGCTTCTCTTAATGATTGAATTCCCACTTAAATTTAGAATTTGGACAGGTTCTCTGTATTATAATTCCAGCCTATCCCTTTAGTCTCATATTCAACCACTTCCCTGTACTTCTGCCTTATTAGACTGCTTGGTATTTTCAGACTATGGTCCATACTTTCCTTTATTGACTCCTTTCCTCTTGTTGGAATCTCACTTATGTTGAAGGCCATTATAAATGCTTCCTCCTCTATGTCTTTCGTGAGCTCTCTACCCAAATTGGTCGTTTTGCACTTCTCTTGCTTATTCTTGTTTTAGGACCTTTTTTTTTTTTTAACTTTTCTCATTTTTGCTGTAAGATTTTAAGCTGTTTTAGGGGAATATCCTTTCTTTCCTCACTTGATAGGCCCCCCTTTTCCTAGCAATTTCTACACAAAAGCCTTCAATAAATATGTGTGGAATAAACTGAAGGTTTACATACAATAAATACAGACAGCTTTGGGGCAAGTATAGTGATAAAGTACAGAATTCTCCCTGAGTTCGTGGAATTATTTTAATTTCATTTCCGTACAGTCAGTGAGTATGAGGACTTGAAGACATGGTTTTTCTCCTGTTAAGTGAAGGTCTGCATTTTATTTTTTTAGTCTAGAGAAATAGCCAAAATATTATTTTTTTTAACCAGGAGAATTTTCAGTTGGAATGGTTCATAAGACAGTTGTAAGTTAAATGCTGAAGGTAATATGAACAAGTGGCTATGTATCCTTCATATCTTCAAGGAGGTTCAGTTTTAGTGTGTCTGTGCAGGTGTGTACTTCTAATTTATGTTTTGCTAGAAGGAAATTAGAATACTGGTGTGTGATTCTTCAATTCCCTTCCCATGTGCCCGGAGCTGTGTAGTGCTAGGTACCGGGACAAAGGTTAAGCCAACCCATGTAAACATGGAACTTATCTTTGGGTACTTACTCCCTGTTGGAGGAGAAAAAGCATTAATCAAACCAAGCCATGTAAACATGGAACTTATCCTTGGATACTTACTCTCCGTTGGAGGAGAAAAAGCATTAATCAAACAATCAAACATATTTTAAAATTTGAGTATATTAAGCCCTGTGAAGATGTGGTCCAGAGTGCACCCAATAGGGGAATTTAATCTACCATCTGTATGTTCTTTTCTCTTTATTTGGTATTTTTCATATTGTTTTAAAAGTTTTAACGTTTTTGAAAGACCATTCAGAGTATTAGTAGTAGTAGTAGTCCATAACATTGTCCTTTAAGAGGAAAGCTGCTTCATACTGCCAGTATTTTGGGTCACTAATCCCATTTAATAAACTACTGAAATTAATCCCATCTCATAAACACTGAAATTCAGGATTTTCATGGAAAGAGATCACATTTGCACTTCAGTCAGTTTATCTTTTTATTTTATTTTATTATTATTATTATTATTTTTTGAGACGGAGTCTCGCTCTGTTGCCCAGGCTGGAGTGCAGTGGTGCGATCTCGGCTCACTGCAAGCTCCGCCTCCCAGGTTCACGCCATTCTGCTGCCTCAGCCTCCCGAGTAGCTGGAACTACAGGCACCTGCCCCCACGCCTGGCTAATTTTTTTTTTTTTTTTTTTGAGATGGAGTCTCTCTCTGTCGCCAGGCTGGACTGCAGTGGCACGATCTCGGCTCACTGCAACCTCTGCCTCCCGTGTTCAAGTGATTCTCCTGCCTCAGCCTCCTGAGTAGCTGGGACTACAGTCGTGTGCCACCACGCCCAGCTAATTTTTGTATTTTTAGTAGAGACGGGGTTTCACCATGTTGGCCAGGCTGACCTCGATCTCTTGACCTCGTGATACGCCCGCCTCAGCCTCCCAAAGTGCTGGGATTACAGGTGTGAGCCACCGTGCCCGGCCACGCCCAGCTAATTTTTAAATATTTGTTAGTAGAGACAGGGTTTTACTCTGTTAGCCAGGGTGGTCTCGATCTCCTGACCTCATGATCTGCCTGCCTTGGCCTCCCAAAGTGCTGAGATTACAGGCTTGAGCCACCACGCCCAGCCTCAGTCAGTTTAAATTCCAACACTGAAGCCACTGGTTTTAGCCATAACCAGCTTAATGAGTATGTTACCTGCTGCCTAACATCTGTAGGACAGTTTAGGTATTTCTAAAGACCATTCATACTTTGAGTATTATACAAAAGTAGATTCATCATCTGATATTTATTTATTTATTTATTTTTTTGAGACAGAGTCTTGCTCTGTCGCCCAGACTGGAGTACAGCGGCATGATCTTGGCTTACTGTAACCTCTGCCTCCCGGGTTCAAGCGATTCTCGTGCCTCAGCCTCTTGAGTATCTGGGACTACAGGCGTGCAGCACCACGCCTGACTAATTTTTGTATTTTTAGTAGAGATGGGGTTTCGCCATGTTGGCCAGGCTGGTCTTGAACTCCTAGCCTCAAGTGATCCGCCCACCTTGGCCTCCCAAAGTGCTGGGATTACAGGCGTGAGCCACCGCGCCCAGCCAATTATCTGGTATTCTTTCTTTGTATTTACTATGTGCAATTGAAAACTCTAGAGAAGTTTAGGTAAAATCCCAGTTCCATATTTTCTGCAGCCCATTTTAGGTAACAGGGCCATAGACATTTTCCCTCTAGGCCTACGGAGTTTTCTATGTGCCTTTAATACAGCTTTCAGGAGCCTCTGGTTTTTGCTCTTTAGGTCTAAGATGGGACAAATTCTACCCTACCCCCAGGTCTTTTTAGTCCCTTGAAACAAACATGCCCCTACTTTCCTGGACATTGAGATAGGGACAGAGATATTGCTTATGTTTCTTCTTGTTATGTACTAGGGAGAGACTGTGGTCTCTTATTTGAAAATTACTATGTGTGATTCTTAAACAACTCTTTAGAAATTTTCTTTCCTGTAGCAAGTGAAATGACTAACAGATACTTAAAATAGAAATCACACTGTGTGATATAAATCTCTCTCTCTCTTTTATTTTTCTGCTTTAAAGAGAGCAACCTTAATTTTCGGTGGGGAGAGCATACATTTAATCCATCTGTTTGCTTGACAGAAAGTGAATCCGGATTAATTTATTTTCCCTGTTTACCAAATAAAGTCATTTAGTAATACTCTATAGTGATACAGTATTACCAAAATAATATTTCAGATTACATAGAAATTTTCACCATAGGAGTTAATGACAGGCAACGTCTAGATTTTCCGGGTGGGTGTGGTGGCTCATGCCTGTAATCCCAGCAGTTTGGGAGGCCGAGTTGGGCAGATGGCTTGAGCCCAGGAGTTCGAGACCAGCCTGGACAACATGGCAAAACCCCATCTCTACAAAAAACAAAAATTAGCTGGGTGTGATAGTGCACACCTGTGGTCCTAGCTACTTGGGAGGCTGAGGTTGGAGGATCACTTGAGCCCAGGAGGTTGAGGCTGCAGTGAGCAATGATCATGCCGCCACTGCACTCCAGCCTGAATGATAGGGTGACATTCTGTCTCAATAAAAATAGTTTCTGTTTGGTATATACTGAGTTTAGGACAGTTTTTGCCTCCAAATAATTTTTATTTTTATTTTTTGAGATGGAATTTCGCTCTTGTTGCACAGGCTGGAGTGCAATGGTGTAATCTTGGCTCACCGCAACCTCTGCCTGCCGGGTTCAAGCGATTCTCCTGCCTCAGCCTCCCGAGTAGCTGGGATTACAGGCACCCACCACCATGCCAGGCTAATTTTGTATTTTTAGTAGAGACGGGGTTTCTCCATGTTGGTCAGGCTGGTCTCCAACTCCCGATCTCAGGTATTCCACCTGCCTCGGCCTCCCAAAGTGCTGGGATTATAGGCGTGAGTCACTGCACCCGGCCCAAATAATATTTTTTAAATGCCTGATTTAAGGTTCATTAGGACAGGGTTAGGTTCTGTACAAACTAAATTTGAAAGATTAGATTTTTTGCCCTATGAGAGTTGTGAAAGCTATGATTTTTGTCAGTCTTTTGAAGGAATCAATCTTTAGTTAATCCTTTATGGCTAGTACCTTTTTTCTTGATCATACTGTTCGTTGTTAGATACATACATCTATGTACCTTAAACACATTTACATATATTCTAATGAATTATGTAAAAAAGTGTTAATATGGTTCATCTTTTCACAGTTTTGTTCATTGTAGTTATAACAAAATTGTCTCAATTTTAAAAAAGTTATATAACATTTCTTTTTACATATTACATTAGTTTAGATGCCTGCTCTTTAATTCTAAGTTCATGGATACTCTTTCTTATACCACCCTGGTTTGTATCTTTAAGAAGTCTCTGTCTTAAATAGTTCCTCACTTTTATTTTCATCTGGGCAGTTTTCTTGGAAATCTCTAGTTGCTCTGATGTTTGTGAAATTATTTATAACAGGAAAGATTCTTCTTAGGATGAGGAAAGGAACAGAAACTGTGGAAAATCTTAAGAAAACGTAGGAAAGGAAAAAAATCAAATGTAGAAATTAAATGTAATTTAAAAAATTAAATTAATGTTACATTTTATTAAAAAAGGTTTATTGCAGAAAATGTTTGCAGAGTAGTAATATAACTTACTCCGAGGCTTTTTGTTCGTGCGATTGATGCTTTATCTTCATAATTAATTTTGTTTCTTATTAATAATTTTATTTTATGGATTATGATTCCCCATGTACAAATTAATATTGGAGCTGCAGTTGGCCCTAACCTTACAAATAGATTTCTTAATTCTCACATTTGTCTTTCCACTGAGCTGTGTTTGTTTTGTATTTTAATCATTCTTAGATGCCTATCAACCTTCACATAGGTAATGAATCATCTAGAGAGAGCAGCCAAATTTCTTTTCACTTTTTTTTTCCAGTAATGAGCTCATTCATCTTTATTCTAATATCTTTGAAACTAGAATTTTCTATCTTTAGGAAAGCTGTGTTTTAGCTTCCCTGGGGGGAGAGTTTAATCTCAAAATCTGAGCATATTCTTAAATTGATTTGGTTTAAAACAAAGAAGGCACTTGCAAAGTGTTAATTTTTTGATGGGTTTATGTTCTTACCCACAGACATTAGACCAGCTCCCACTCACCAACCCTGAGCATTTTGGCACTCCAGTCATAGGAAAGAAAACAAATAGAGGAAGAAGATCTAATCATATGTAAGTCCATTTTCATGACTGTTAGTTGAACCTGAATTCATTTCTCCTTCTAGTATTGTTTATAGTTATTTTAAAATTGTAATTTGCAAAATGCTAACCAGATCTAATAGTAATTTCGGATCTAATAGTAATTTCAGACTCCTCAGCATGGGTGATTGAGGTTCTCCATGCTCAGCCAACCTTACTTAACAGCTGTATCTGCCTTCAATTTCTCCCTGCATGTTATCTTGATGCTGTAGTCAAAATGAAACCAGTCAATAATTCCTGAATACATCGCTTGTTTTCTAATATCATGCTTTTATTCATGCTATTATTTTTGGTCTCCATGCCTCCCTTCCTGGTAACTGTCTTGTCCATGCCTTAATTCTCAACAAAAATGCTTAAACCTTTATGTGAACCATTTTGTGTCTCCCCACACTTTCCTTGAAACCAGAGATGTTTCTCTCCCCTGTAAACCCAATTCTCTGGCATAGTATGAACTGTGGAGCCAGTTGGTCTGGGTTTGAATCCTGGCTCTGCCACTTCCTTGCTGTGTGATCTTGGGATGGTTACTTAATCTTTTCATACCTCACTTCCTATCTATAAAATTTGGATAATAATATTACCTATCTCTTAGTGTTGTTGTGAAAATTAAGTGAATTCATATCCTTTAAGTGTTTATAGAGTAAATGTTACATAAGTACTAGATAATCAACATCATATACTGACATGAAAAATTTCATGATGAAATACCAGTATGTAACAGTTTCATTTATATATGAAAATGTGTTTACATGTATATATAAAAATTCTGCTTCCTGGTGTTTATGTCTGACAATTAGGACTGGTTCTTGCTGAATTATTCGAACTTTAAAAAATTTCTACGTTTTTATATATATTATAGGAAAAATAGTCTCTTATTTGTCAATAAGTTTTTTTAATTTTTAGAAGATTGCATCTAGTATTTAGACATATTTTTACGATTTTATACACATCATCCTAAAGTGTAAAAATAAATTTAAAAATGAATTTATTGTGCAATATCACGTAATATTGACCTGCAAATGTGACTAAAAATTATGATCTGTTAAAAAGTCAGTTATTTTTTATTTCCTCTTCTGTCGTTCCCCAACTGTTAGATGTTTCTTAGTTGAGGCGTCCGTTTTGTGAATATGAGAATAAAGCACGCATTTGTTGCTGAATAAGTTGATCTTTGCTTTCTAAAGACTCCAGCAAACATTCTAAGTTAGTGGTTTTCCTGTTGAGAATCTCTATGTGTAATGAGAGATTTGCTGTTGAGATTGTGTTATACATGTGTAAAGTATGAATGCAGACAAAAGGTTGAAGATTACTAGTGTAGGAATGAAGACCTGCTCCATCTGTAATCTTGTTTTGCTTGCTCTTCCTTGCCCTTCTCTACCACGGTTGGTCATTCTCACTGCCAAGGAACCTGACAATGTTACTCTTGCTTGGCGTTTTAAGCCTTGGTGTGTAAGCATTACAGGCAAGTACTACAGTTTGAAATGCCCATCTCCTTGATTACATTTCCTCAAAGTTCTTTCTCCCCTTTCTTCAAAGTGATTTTCTGCAACAAAGTCTTAAACCTAGATCTTAAGGGCATTCATCTGACCTTCATTTCCTCTTCCATTACTCCATTGAAAAAAGTCTTTGCTGTGATCTCAGATTGCCATTTAAAATGTATTTTTGTACAAAGATATGTAAAGTTATCTCTTCTTAGGATTCCCAGGACTTCGTTGTTGGAGTGATGTATCACCAAATTTGTTTTCTTTTAGCAGCTGTTATTCCACGTATCAGTTAATCTACCCCTAGTTATTCCAAAATTGATTACTTTTAACATCTTCCATTAAATTGAGTTTCAGTATATTCTACCTTTAATCCTAGTAAGTTCAAGTATTTTCTTTTTTTAATGATTATCATCCTCTAGCTAAATTTTTTTTAAAGCAAGTTATTGATTCTTTTAATCAATGTATTACTGGATTGAATTTTCTCCTTATAACTTACCCATTGTTTGCAGCGATTGTGTTTAAGTCATCCAGAAGAATAGAATACCTGAAATTATGGAAATACTTGTTTGTCCCTCTCCTCTTGAAGTTGTTTTCCCATAATCTGGCAAAAGTTTATGTGCAACTGCTACAATAGGAAAGCAGTCTATTTGCTGTTATATTTTTCCCCTTCAGAAAAAAGATAAAGCATAAGGTTTACAATGAATCTTGTTAACAAGGGATTATTTATGAGTATGGATTTTACCCAGTAACAGTGCTAAGATTTACCCAATACCTGGTTTATACTTGCTATTTAAATACAGGCCTGCAGATCTGAACACATTTTTAAATTAGTGTATAATTCATGTATCATAAAATTTACTCATATATTTTAATCTGTAGATTTGTATCCAATACTTCACCCTTTTAAAGTGTACAGTTTAGTGGTTTTTAGTATATTCATAAAATTGTGTAACTATCATCACTAATTCCAGAAGATCTTTTTATTTTGCCGCTTTATTTTAATATGAGAATTTGATTCATTTCCTCCTTGATAAAAATTGAGAAAAAAATTAAAACCCTTTTATAGTTAAGCGTACATAGGTTCTGTGTGTTTCTAAGAAGGTATGTATACGTTGTCAGTCTTCCAGATACTAATAGAACATTTCAATTTACAAAGTTTGAAACTGAGTAAACTGATTTGCCTAAAATAAAAAATAATCAGAATTGCATGTCAAAGGTTGAGCCTCTTGTTTCTAGCTCAATTTGTATCATTATTTGGTATTCCTTGGCCCATATCTTGTCTAAAGTTCGTCTTTCTTGATTTACAACTAATTAGAGTTAATAGTGAAGTGTGATCAGCTTTAAGTGATTGGCTGTTAGAGTATTATGGTAAAAATTTCCATGTAATTAGCTTTCTTTCTAGTGACATCATCAGATTTTATTTCATAGAGACAGCGCATTATTTTGTTGTGGCTCTACAAATACCTTGCCACCAAAGAAATAACAATGTCAGAAATGAATAAAAATCAAGCAGGCTCTCTGCTTGCTCTGTCTTTGCTCCTGTAAAATATTTTGGATGCTCATTAATTTTAGTTCATTAGTTTATTGAGTACCTGTGTAAACAGTTTTCTGGCTAAGCTCCTCTAAAAGGAAAAGTTAAGGAGCTTCATGTGTAATAGTATGGTTTACACTGATGTATACATTTTGTGATTTTAGAATAAAAATCAGAAATACCATAATAAAAAAATAAATGCATCTTTTTTATTTTATGAACAAGTATTTATTTAGCATCTATACTGTGCCAAGCATTGTTCAGGTACTTGAGATATATCAATAAACAAAAAAAAATTACTTAAAAAATCTTCAACTTGAGAGCTTACATTCTCTCAGGGGAGGAGATAGCGAATTAAACATTGGATTCACATACTTGGTGTGAAAAAAAAGAATAAACATAAGAAATAAGTAAATTATATAGTATGATAAAAGTGAATGCTGTGGAAATGAAGAGCAAAATGAAAAGAGGTAGATGGGCAGGGACTGTAAATTTGAATAAGGTGGAACAAAGTCTTGAGTAGGTGAGGGGGAAGGGGCATCTAGTCTAAAAATGGAGATGATTTTAGACAGGAACCTTGCAATTTTATATGTAAGGTGGATAGATGTTTCAGCTAGCTGAACAAAGGTGTTTTGTTTTTCTTTTTGATATACTGTGAAATCTGAAGTCTTAACACTTGTTAAGTCTTAAGAAAAGTTACAATTTTTACAATGATGCAGATAATTTTGTTAGTCAAATAAAGCCCAATTTTCTCTATGTTGTACAGATTTTGATATGTGTTATCTCTGACATTGTAGCTTTCTAGCTGCTACTGATAATAGAGTGTTCATAAACCCCTAGCTGAATGAGTCTTCTGTGGCTACTTTGAGAAAGCAGTAATTATGATTTTAAGCTTGGTTGTATCCTGTAGTCATTAGACAGTAAAAAAAGTCACTACTCTTAAGCTCTTGTAAATCAAGTAGAAATCAGACTTGTGAGGACTGTCGTTACTGTCCCAAGCTGTGTGTCTATGTGTAGGGTCTTATTCTCCACTAATGTAAAGGTGGTTGAGTTTTCTTATTGTTACCTACTTTCTAAGTAGAGATTGAACTTCTTTAAGTGCCATTGAAGTACAATACATCTTTTTTTTTTTTTTTGAGACGGAGTCTCACTCTGTCGCCCAGGCTGGAGTGCAGTGGTGCGATATCGGCTCACTGCAACCTCCGCCTCCCGGGTTCAGGCAATTCTCCTGCCTCAGCCTCCAGAGTAGCTGGGATTACAGGCACCCGCCACCATGCCTGGCTAATTTTTGTATTTTTAGTAGAGACGAGGTTTCACCATTTTGGCCAGGCTGGTCTCGAACTCCTGACCTCAGGTGATCCACCTGCCTTCGCCTCCCAAAGTGCTGGGAGTACAATACTTCCAGCCAAAGTACAGTACTTCTATTCAATAGCAAGCTTTGAAGATTTGCTTTGTTTCTGCCAGGGAACAATTTTTAAGTTATTTGACTGATCATTGAAATCAAGGGGGTGGTATTCCCCATGTCACTTTAAAAAGCTTAATATTATTATAATAGTTTTTACTTTTTTGGCCAGGTGGGGTGGCTCACGCCTATAATCCCAGCACTTTGGGAGGCGAGGTGGGCGGATCACGAGGTCAGGAGATCGAGACTATCCTGGCTAACATGGTGAAACCCCTTCTCTACCAAAAATACAAAAATTAGCTGGGCGTGGTGGCAGGCACCTGTAATCCCAGCTACTCAGGAGGCTGAGGCAGGAGAATTGCTTGAACCCAGGAGGCGGAGCTTGCAGTGAGCCAAGGTGGTGCCACTGCACTCCAGCCCGGCAACAGAGCTAGACTCCGCCTCAAAAAAGAAAAAAATAGTTTTCACTTTGTTTACATTTATATTGGAATATATAAATATAAAGGCATGACGGTTACTTTGTCATACTTTTGGAAAGGCATCAAAGACAACTTCAGAGTATACTAGATAGTATACTAAATAGGTAAATCATGTTTAAAGTTTTTTAGTAGTTTAATCTGTCAGTTTTCCTTTTTTGGGCAGTGAAACTGATCATTGCAAACTATCTGAAAAACACTTTTATCTTTGTAGGTATTCAATAATAGCCATTCTAAAAAGGACATATGTTGTTGTCCATCAAACATTTCCTAGTCTTTACTCATTCTGGGCATTTTCTTTGGTGCTGATTCTTTATTAGAATCAGATTCAAATTGGAATAGCTTTTTGTTTTGTTTTCCTTTTTACTACACTTTCCTCAAACATCAAGTTGATGGTTTCAGATACTTCCTTTTTCTTCTGACAGTTATCTTTCTAATTTACTAGTCCAATATTTAATGTTACTGAAAGGATTTTCTGTTTTTCTTTTAATTTTGAAAGTTTTTAGCATCATACAAAAGAGGCTTATTGGACATTTTATGAATACCTAATTGGTGTGTATTTGTTGTTATGGATAGCAGTGGTGATCTCTTTTCAGATTGCCTCCTCTTCCCAACCTAACCTCAGTTAATAAAGGTCTGCTCTCCTACCTTTTAAAATTAACTTTGTACTGGAGATATAGAATTACTGTCTCCAGAATTCCTTTAATTTGAGATTGGGATTGTGTATATTTTAGTGTAATACTGGGATGTTTAATATGGGGCCTTCACCTTTTTGAGGATTTGGGAACCAGTTATTTGTCCTGATCTTCCTCCTCAATTTTTTACAGTAGCACTAAATAAACCAGAAATATTTTTGGGAAAATGATGTGCTTTCCTCTCATGATAAACTCTTGCTGTTATTTTTTAGAAATTTAGAAAATGATTTAAGATTTAAATTAGCCATTTTACAGGTCTTAGGAAATGTAATAAGAGTTTGGGAATACCTATATTCATCATTGGCATGCTTATTCTTTGTGAGGATAAATGGAAATATTTTATTTTTTTCTCTCCCTAGACCAGAGGAAGAGTCTTCATCATCCTCCAGTGATGAAGATGAGGATGATAGGAAACAGATTGATGAGCTACTAGGCAAAGTTGTATGTGTAGATTACATTAGTTTGGATAAAAAGAAAGCACTGTGGTTTCCTGCATTGGTGAGTAGCTTCAGTATACAAGAGTTTAATTTCAAACTTTATAAGTTTATGAAGAAAACAATTTTCTTACTAATGTTTTTCATAGGTACAAAATGAGGAAATGTTTTTAGCATTATTTAGTTCACACTAAGCTTACTTTCAACGTTGTCTTTGAATACAAAGAACTCTTGATGTCATTCAGGAAAGGCAAAATCTTGATAATCTTAGAGGTTTAGCTATGTGGAAGTTGAATTCTCTCTCTCTCGGTAGAAAATTCATGATGCAAACTTTTAAAGCTCCTAAGTCCATGTAGGTCTAGATTGCAAAAGAACAACAGAATCTTTCTTGGTTGACAGGGATAACTAGACCTTTTCCTCATACTTAGTGAATCAGGGTGTTTCCATCCTTGATCTTAATCTTGCCTTTTAGGTACTCCCTATATAATCATGACTGCAATTATACATTACCCCACTCTTCAATTTTCTCTACAGTAGATTGTTAATTCTACCTACTTTTTAATGTTTTTCTCTCCAAAAGATTGCAATTCCTTAGATTCCAGGTTGAATATTTTGCATTTTTTCCTTGTTTTCTCACGTTGCCTTTTTGTGATTCTGAGGAGGTACTCAAGATTTATTATCAGGAGTATCCTCATGATTGTCCCAAGTTCTTGTATTTCAAACTGTTAAGACATGACAGAAAGCCTTTTGAGCTTTTTATCTCTCTGTTTTTCGTAACCACTAGCTTCTTTAGCAAGTTGAAAGGGCCATGTATAGACCATTTTCTTTGACTTTTAGAAAGGGAACATATACTAATATCTTTCACGGACATAACTAGGCTGCTTTTCAAATAATCTTTTGGTAGACAAAATAATTTGTAGCTCTTAAAGCAAATAGAGGTTCAACTAATAATTAGCTATATATGATACTTTAATGAAGATTTAACTCTGTGGCAATAAGAATGCATTTTTTTCTGGACAGCATATAATTGGATAAATCACTTAAGGTTTTAAATTTCAAGTAGGAGACTGAAGTTAATAATCAGTATCTCTTAAGAATTATCTTGGCTGGGGTGTGGTGGCTCACACCTGTAATCCTAGCACTTTGGGAGGCCGAGGTGGGCAAATCCCCTGAGGTCAGGAGTTCGAGACCAGCCTGGCCAACAGGGCAAAACCCCGTCTCTACTAAAAATACAAAAAAATTAGCTGGCTGTGGTGGCACATGCCTGTAATCCCAGCTAGGCAGGAGAATAGCTTGAACCCAGGAGGCGGAGGTTGCAGTGAGCCAAGATCGCGCCACTGCACTCCAGTGTGGGCGACAGAGCAAGATTCCCTCTCAAAAAAAAAAAAAAGAAGAAAAAAAAAGAATTATCTTGAACTCTTTAAAATTTTGATATGTCTGAATTGTCCTATGATGATTTTATCTGAAGACCATTGAGTCATTTGCATCAAACAGTGAGATCCACTTTTTTTTTTTTTCCCCGGAGACAGAGGCTTACTCCGTTACCCAGGTTAGAGTGCAGTGGTGTGATCCTGACTCGCTGCAGCCTTGACCTCCTGGGCTCAACAATTCTCCCACCTCAGCCTCCTGAGTAGCTCACACTACAGGTGGAGACCACCACATCTGGCTAATTTTTAAATACTTTGTAAATACGAGGTCTCCCTATGCTGCCCAGGCTAGTCTTAAACTCCTGGATTCAAGTGACCTTCCCACCTTGGCTTCCCAGAGTGCTGGGATTACAGGTGGGGGCTACTGAGCCCAGCCCACATCTTTTACAAATATGTCCTCCCCTCACTTCATATTTAATAAGCTATAAACTGAAGATCCGCTGATAAACAAAAGACACTTTGAAAGTACTATTCTCACGTTTGACAACTAATTTGTTCTCAAATATCGAGAGACAGAATGGGTCAAAATTATTCTCTGTCTCTGTTTTGTATGTTCTCACTCCCTTACTAAAAATAATTAGCCAAATTCTCCTCTAATGCTTTTTTCCCTTATGTTAATGACATTCAATAAAATTTTTGTGTTCTCAAGATTAACACATATTTGTTAGGTATGCATTTATCATATACCAAGTTCTGTTCAAAATATTTAACAAAGATAGACTCATTTAGTGGTGTAGAGGTTTTTTGTTCTCATGATTAATAAACTTTCCTTTTTTCTTTTCTTTTCTTTTCTTTTTTTTTTTTTTGAGATGGAGTTTCGCCCTTGTTGCCCAGGCTGGAGTGCAATGGTGCGATCTCGGCTCACTGCAACTCCGCCTCCCAGGTTCAAGTGATCCTCCTGCCTCAGCCTCCCGAGTAGCTGGTATGACAAGCCACCATGCCCGGCTAATTTTGTATTTTTAGTAGAGACAGCGTTTCTCCATGTCGGTCAGGCTGGTCTCCAACTCCTGACCTCAGGTGATCTGCCCGCCTCAGCCTCCCAAAATGTTGGGATTACAGGCATGAGCCAGCACACCCGGTGATGATTAATAAACTTTTCTCTACAATTTGTGCTTGAGAATCTGCTAACTCTTTATTCTCATTCTCTCATTTTCCTGCTCATTGACTAACAATTGCAGAGACTTAGAAATGGGATTAAAACACTGTCCTTTGTTTATATGTATTTGTATGAAAACTTATGTCCATAATATATATAAACTCTTTTGTATATTTGTGGTTTTTGTGCTAAACTAGGTAACCATGGTCTCAAATGAAAAAGAAACAATAGAACTACCTTTGTTTTTACTGTTTTCTACTTGTGATGTCCATTTACCCTTTTTAGTCAACATGTCTTATTTCTTTATCTCCACTGCTTAGTTCAGTGTTCGGCACAAATTAAATATGCAGTAAATGTCAGCTCTTGTAATGATAGTGAAAAATGAGGACAATTATTTGTTTTAATAAATATAAATATTTTATAATACCTTTGTACCTTCCTGTGTATCCAACATTTAGTGGATACCTATATGTACAAGGAGTGTGCTAACACCTATTATGAGATAGGTATTATTATTTATCCCGATGTAGAGATAAGGAAACTGAGTATTAGCAGGGTTAAGTTAGTTGCCACACTTTGGGTTAATTATTAAGCTGAAAAAAAGCATCAGTGTTTGCGATTCTTTCTTTCTTTCTAAAGCACTAGGAGTCTTTGTGAGTTTCTTTTGAAAGTATGTTTTAAGGCCAGCTGCAGTGGCTCACACCTGCAGTCCCAGCACTTTGGGAGGCCGAGGCAGGCGGATCACCTGAGGTCAGGAGTTCAAGACCAGCCTGGCCAACATAGTGAAACCCCTTCTGTACTAAAAATGGAAAAATTTGCAGGACATGGTGGTGCGTGCTTATAGTCCCAGCTACTCGGGAGGCTGAGGCAGGAGAATCGCTTGAACCTGGGAGGCGGAGGCTGCAGTGATCTGAGATCACACCACTGCATTCCAGCCTGGGTGACAGAGCAAGACTTTTATCTCAAAAAAAAAAAAAAAAAAAAAAAAAAATATATATATATATATATATATATATATATTTTTTATAAAACCGTTTTGTGGGCCAGGCGCGGCGGCTCACACCTGTAATCCCAGCACTTTGGGAGGCCGAGGTGGGCAGATCACTTGAGGTCAGGAGTTCAAGACCAGCCTGGCCAACATGGTGAAACCCTATCTTTACTAAAATACAAAAATTAGCCGAGCATGGTGGCGGGAGCCTATAATCCCAGCTACTTGGGAGGCTGAGGCAGGAGAATTGCTTGAACACGGGAGGTGGAGGTTGCAGTGAGCTGAGACCGTGCCACAGCACTCCAGCCTGAGTGACAGAGCAAGACCCCATCTCAAACACACACACACACACACACACACACACACACACACAACTGTTTTGTAAGTCTTTTTCTCAATAGGAACATTAAATTTTTTAATATTAGTGTTTTGAGTTATTAATTTAAGCTTCTCACACCATAATCACTAAAAAGTTTCTTTGACGAAAATGAAAAATCTAAGGATTTTTAATATTGAAAGGTTAGTAATCTGTTTAGTCAGCCATTTCACTGTTGTTTTTAAATTCTTAGAATTATTGATGTATGTTATCTCCTCCCAAAATTGAGATCCATTGGACGGTGATGGATAGTTTTTGGTAACTAGAGTGAAAAATTATGTTCTAAATCGACCAATCTTGATATAATCGCACAAATAGTATTTGTGTTTCTAATTTATGTTATTTTTATAAATCGAGTAAATTCAAAGTGTTTTAGTAACATCATAAGAAAACAGTTAACTGGGTCTGGGTGGCCTGTGCCTGTAGTCCCAGCTACTTGGGAGACTGAGGTGGGAGGATCGATTGAACCCTGGGAGGTTGAGGCTGCATTGAGTCGTGATCACGCCACTGCACAGAGTGAGACCTTGTCTCAAAAAAAAAAAAAGAAAAAGAAAAAGGAAACAACTACATAGTCCCAGGAACTATAAATAACTACCATGCACTGAGTATTTACCCTGACTAGGACTGTGCTGAGCTTATTAATATAAGTAGTATTGTTTAATCCTAATTGAGACTTACTCTCAGTCTCAATTTTTTATTTTCCAATTTCATTTTAAGAGGGGGAAATCTTAGATTCCATGGCTCATGCAGTTCTCCTTTTCAGTTTTTTTCACCAGGTTCTCCTCTTCTAATCACCCTTTCAAGCTGTAATTCAGGATTCAGAATGTATCGCTGTATTTTCTTTACGGTGATCTCATCTCCTTTTAAAGCTTCACCTTGCAGAGATAGCAAAGAGATAAAGTGACCAAGAAAATAACATACATGGGTGAATGGGATAAAATGCATATTGTCGTTCTGTGGCAGAACTGGACAGTGAGCCCACTTACTCATACACCAGTGTCATCACTGGCCAAAGCTATCACATGTGCAGTTTTCGAAATCCTTCGCTCATCAGGGAAAAGTAATGAGTGGATTTGGCTCACAAGCCCCAAGTTTTAGACCCCTAATATTTAGGCTGTGGGCTCTCAAATTTATATCCTTGAGTCCAGACCTCTACGCTTTGCTCCAGACCTGATT
Organism: Homo sapiens; assembly: GCF_000001405.40. Classification (NCBI taxonomy): domain Eukaryota; kingdom Metazoa; phylum Chordata; class Mammalia; order Primates; family Hominidae; genus Homo; species Homo sapiens. The sequence continues at coordinate 235,235,313 of NC_000001.11, read as the reverse complement.
TTTCTGTTCACTGTCTTCATTTGGATGTCTTTTAGCCACCTAAAACTTAGTAGTCCCAAAACTCCTCTTATTATCCCTTCCCTCATGCACAAACTTGGCCCTTTTTTGTTGTTTTTCTTTCACAGTGAATAACTCTGTCATCTGCCTATTTGTACAAGGCAGAAAACTAAGCATCCTCTTATTGTTCATCTTTCTACTTCCCTAATTATCTTGGATATTTCTCATTCCTTTAATTTGCCATTGCCACCACTTTACATCCAAGCCACCACCTCTCACTCAGGTGATCACAGTAGCTTAGTTTCTTTGAACAGTTGCCTCTGCGTGGTCCATTTTCTTCATAGCAGCCAAAGTAGATTTTTAAAAGGAAAATCTATTATGACATTCTTTGGTTTCAGATTCTTTCAACAAAGATGTTAGATTTTATCCTAAGAATTAATATGGCCTACAAGGCTCTGGAAATTCTGGACCCTTGTTTTTTTCTTAGCCATGATGTATCCCTTCAGTTAAGGATCTAACTCTACCTTTTTTCTGTTTCTGACTAGAACTTCGTCCACAGCTTCATCCTAGTCATAGCTGTGCTTCTGCTTTCAATGCCTTGCCTATGCCAAAAATTCTAGATTATCCAGCAGCTGGAAGGATGTAGGATGCCAATTTAAAATTGCTTGTGTGTGCTCCCACGTGTGTGTGTGTGCCTGTTTACCCTCAAACTAAAATTAGTTTTTAAACTTCAAGCTTACACTTTTTAAAAGGATTTAAATGGTGGGTACTTACCTATCTATGAGTTCTTTTAGTTATAATAGCTTCACCCTTTTTCTTAAAAGGTGGTTTGTCCTGATTGTAGTGATGAGATTGCTGTAAAAAAGGACAATATTCTTGTTCGATCTTTCAAAGATGGAAAATTGTAAGTATAATTTACTTGGTTTGAAAAACCAGTTTATAAATATATGCTGTTATTTTGAATTAGGATGTTAAATGATTAATTAGTTATTTCCAATTACCTTAGGCTTTTATTTTTCATCATACAGAATGTTTCAAAGAGTCACTGTTTTTCATATTATCTTAATGTGTTGTAGTCTTATAGTATGTTTTTCCTTACTAATTTTGGTAATCTTTTCCAAACTAGACACTCAGTACTGTCTAATTTGTCAACACTTGTCCACATAATAGCTGGTTATTTGAGGCAAATTTGCCATATCTAATGTATTTAATACTTTATTGATTTTTTTGTTTTTTTTGAGACGGAGTCTCACTCTGTCACCCAGGCTGGAGTGCAGTGGTGCAGTTTCGGCTCACTGCAACCTCTGCCTCCTGGGTTCAAGCTATTCTCCTGCCTCAGCCTCCTGAGTAGCTGGGACTATAGGTGCATGCCACCGCACCCAGCTAATTTTTATATTTTTAATAGAGACGGGGATTCACTGTGTTGTCCAGGCTGGTCTCGAACTCCTGATCTCGTGATCTGCCCGCCTCGAACCCCAAAGTGCTGGGATTATAGGCGTGAGCCATCGCGCCCGGCCTATTGATGTATTTATTGACATTATTTCCTTAGGGTTTGTTCTTGATGGTCTAATTAGGAATTTCCAATACTTCTACTAGTTATGTCTAATGGTTATAGTGATACCTGTTGGATAATACTCAACTTTTGCAGTAGTCTGAGGATTAAAATGGGTTACTTGTATATGGATGGTAAGTGTTAAGAAAATGATTTGTTAATTTTTCTTTAAGAATTATATGACTAGAGAAGCCAGATATTTTATACAGAATTGTATTGGGTATAAATACCTTAAAAAGGTCATCATGTTTTAAGATTTGATGTTTGAATTTTCAAGTTCGGGAAAGGTATTTTTATTTTTAATTATTTTATTTTACTTTATTTCATTTTTTTGGTGAGGGTCTCACTCTTTCACCCAGGCTGGAGTGCAGTGACATGATCATGGCTCACTGCAGCCATGACCCTTTGGGCTCAGGTTATCCTTTCACCTCAATTTCTCTTGAGTAGCTGGGACTACACCTGGCTATTTTTGTATTTTTTGTAGTGATAAGGTTTCACCATGTTGGCCAGGCTGGTCTCGAACTCCTCAGCTCAAGCGATCCAAATGCCCTGGCCTCCCAAAATGCTGAGATTACAGGCGTGAGCCTCTGCACCCAGTCTGAAAAGTTAGCTTCAAAAACAGTATGTAGGCTGGGCGCGGTGGCTCACGCCTGTAATCCCAGCACTTTGGGAGGCCTAGGCAGGTGGGATCATGAGGTCAGGAGTGCAAGACCAGCCTGGCTAACATGGCAAAACTCCGTCTCTACTAAAAATACAAAAATTAGCCAGGCATGGTGGTGGGCGCCTGTAATTCCAGCTACTAGGGAGGCTGAGGCAGGAGAATCGCTTGAACCTGGGAGATGGAGGGTGCCGTGAGCAGAAATAATGCCATTGCACTCCAGCCTGGGTGACAACAACAAGATTCCATCTCAAAACAAAACAAAACAAAACAAAAAAAAATGTAGAACCAACTTTAACAAAATTGGGATAATCAGAGGAATTTGAGCACAGAAATTGAATATTGACTTAATATTAAATTGTTGGGGGGTAAGGAAAATGGGAAAACGTTAGTAAAACGGCACAAACTTTTATTGGTAAGATGAATAAAATGTACAGGATCTGATGTACAGTGTGGTAACTAGTATTCTGGCAGCCTCCCAAGTAGCTAGCACTACAGGTGTGTGCCACCACGCTCGGCAAATTTTTGTAGGGTTTTTTTTTTTTGCCATGTTGCCCAGGCTGGTCTTGAACTCCTGAGTTCAAGTGATCTGCCCACTTTGGCCCCCAAAGTGTTGGGATTACAGTTGTCAGCCACTGTGTCCAACCTTTATTTATTTATTTATTTTATTTTATTTACTTTTTTTTGAGATGGAGTTTCACTCTTGTTGCCCAGGCTGGAGTGCAATGGCGCAATCTCAGCTCACTGCAACCTCCGCCTCCCAGGTTCAAGCGATTCTCCTGCCTCAGCCTCTCGAGTAGCTGGGACTACAGGCATGCACCACCACACCCAGCTAATTTTTATATTTTTAATAGAGATGGGGTTTCACCATGTTGGTCAGGCTGGTCTTGAACTCCTGACCCCAGGTGATCCACTCGCCTCAGCTTCCCAAAGTGCTGGGATTACAGTTGTGAACCACTGCACTCAGCTCAACCTTTATTTTTTAAGAGATGGGATCTTGCTCTGTTGCCTACGCTAGAGTGCAGTGGCACGATCATAGCTCACTGTAACCCTGCCCTGGGTTTTTTCCAGTCAGCTCCCTGCCTCAGACTCCCAAGTAGCTGGGACTACAGGCACATGCCACCACTCCTGGCTAATTCTTTGCTTACTTTTTTAGTTTGTCTGTGGAGACTGGGTCTCGCTATATTACCTATCCTGGTCTTGAACTTTGGCATGAAGCAGTCCTCCCACCTTGACCTCCCAAAGTGTTGGGATTACAGGCATGAATCACCATGGCTGGCCCCAAACATTTTATCATTATATTGCCATAAATCGTTTTTGGCCGGGTGTGGTGGCTCATGCCTATAATCCCAGTACTTTGGGAGACTGAGGTGGGTGGATCAGTTGAGGTTAGGAGTTCAAGACCAACCTGTCCAACATGGTGAAACCCTGTCTCTACTAAAAATACAAAAATTAGCCGGGTGGTAGTGGCATGTGCCTGTAATCCCAGCTACTCGGGAGGTTGAGGCAGAAGAATCGCTTGAGCCTGGGAGGTAGAGGTTGTGGTGAGCCAAGATTGTGCCACTGCACTCCAGTCTGGATGACAGAGTGAGACCCTGTCTCAAAAACAAAACAAAACAAAACAAAAAAAGTTTTCAGTGTTGCATTTGGGCAGGGGACTCTGGTATTTGGGAACACGTTGGTGTTTATAAAATAGCTCTTATGGTAGGATCCTTCTGTAGATGATTACGTATTTTAACATCCTGTCTTGTATGTTATTTCTGACTTGCTACTCTGTGTGCAATCACTTTTATTGTAAACGTCAACATTCCCATATTTTCAGTATCTTTCTGTGATATGTAATCATCTGGATTCTTAATTAATCTCAGTCATATTTTGGGTTTTTTTTCTTCTCTTATAATTAAAAAAAATATATAGTACTTCAGTTCCAAGAAAAGATGTCCATGAAATTACTAGTGACACTGCACCAAAGCCTGATGCTGTTTTAAAGCAAGGTAAGGATAATCTTGGAATAAATTACAAGTACTGTAAAAACTGCTAAAGTGTTTTTGAAGATTAAATTTTTCTTTGCTCTTTAAAATTTTTCTTTAAATTATGTTTTTATGGTTATATTTGGTTCCTTGTGACCTTTATTTTTATAAACCCATGTGTCTTCTGTGTTATAAGTTTCCTTTTCTTTTTTTTTTTTGGAGACAGAGTCTTGCTCTGTCGCCCAGGGTGGAGTGGCGCAATCTCGGCTCACTGCAACCTCTGCCTCCTGGGTTCAAGCAATTCTCTTGCCTCAGCCTCCCGAGTAACTGGGACTACAGGCACACGCCGCCATGCCCGGCTAATTTTTTGTTATTTTAATAGAGCTGGGGTTTCACCGTGTTGCCCAGGCCGGTCTCGAACTCCTGAGCTCAGGCAGTCCACCTGCCTCAGCCTCCCGAAGTGCTAGGATTACAGGTGTGAGCCACTGCGCCCAACCATAGGTTTCCTTTTTTTTTCTGGTTTTTTTTTTTTTTTTTTTTTTAGCTTATAGTCAGGCATAATAATCTAGAATAATGGGAGAGAACTGTGTAGTCAGCTGTTACTATAATCTAGCTTTTGCCTGGTAAATAAAATATTAGTTTCTGGGAATGGTAGAAGAAAGGAATCAAAGTAACTTTGTGTTGTTGTTTTTTTTGTTTTGTTTTGTTTTGTTTTGTTTTGTTTTTTTGAGATGGAGTCTTGCTCTGTCGCCCAGGTTGCAGTGCAGTGGTACAATCTCGGTGCACCCTCCACCTCCCGGGTTCAAGCGATTGTCCTGCCTCAGTCTCCCAAGTAGCTGGGACTATAGGGGCCCACCACTATGCCCGGCTAATTTTTGTGTTTTTAGTAGAGACAGAGTTTCACCATTGACCAGGCTGGTATCAAACTCCTGAGCTCAGGCAGTCCACCCGCCTTGGCCTCCTAAGTGCTGGGATTACAGGCATAAGCCATCACGCCTGACTGAGGAATCAAAGTAATTTTGGTTTGGTATTTCTCACTAATGAATGTACATCCTTAACCACAAGGCTCCAGTAGTTTTATTTGAGGAATATGTGGTAATTGCATCTGTCACTTGATTTTTGGCACTGTAAATAGTTGTCTTCTCTTTGCCCTTATTCCTTGAATTCAGTAATATGCTATGTAGATTGGTTAAAATCATCAAGATTTTTTGGTATATAATTTATTCCCATATATTATAAAATGAGAATAATTGTGTCTAGCTAATTTTAGTTGAAGGTAATTGTTACCATAGTTTTAATTGAAGTTCAACTGAAAATGTAAAAATCATGTGTGGTCAGTTTTCAGGTATTGTATATTTATTTTAATGGCTCTGTGCCTGGTATTAATACTGTTTGATAATTGTTTGTTGCATAAGATATTACATGATTTCCTGTATTAAAGGTTTTTACTAGTGAAGCTTAATCTTTGTTTAAAAGAATAAAACTGCTGTTCTTTTATTTATTTAAACTTAAGTAATCTTCCAATGGTGGCAGTTTTGCCATCTATAAAATGACTACCTAATGCATAGGATGGATAGGATTAAATATATTGCTACATTTAAAAGCACTTAACACAGTTTCTGGTACATAGCAAACAATAAATGTCAGTGGTATTAGCACAGTAGTTTTTATTTCTTTATCGTGTTTAATACTTTTTGAGAAAACAATTGTCTTAATTTCTTCAGTTCATGTACCTTGTGGTCTGTTTCCAGCCTTTGAACAGGCACTTGAATTTCACAAAAGTAGAACTATTCCTGCTAACTGGAAGACTGAATTGAAAGAAGATAGCTCTAGCAGTGAAGCAGAGGAAGAAGAGGAGGAGGAAGATGATGAAAAAGAAAAGGAGGATAATAGCAGTGAAGAAGAAGTAAGTGAAAACAGTTGATACCTTTTAAAATTATAAATAACAGTTGGGTTTCCCTTGTGGGTTAGGATTTGGCATTAAGTCATTACTCATATAAGTATTTTTAGTATGAGAAATATTTCATAATCTTGTATTTGAGATCCTCATAATCAGATAGTTTACTTGGTTACTTTAGATATATGATCTTGTGAAATAGAAAATATTAAGCCTGATTTTCCTAATAACCTCAAAAACATGTCTTAGTCTTCCTATGCTTTTTTTAATGAGATGATTAAGAAAGTATCCACCAGGCTGGGCGCAGTGGCTCAGGCCTGTAATCCCAGCACTTTGGGAGGCCAAGGCAGGCGGATCACGAGGTCAGGAGATCGAGACCATCCTGGCTAACACAGCGAAACCCCGTCTTTACTAAAAATACAAAAAATTAGCCGGGGGTGGTGGTGGGCACCTGTAGTCCCAGCTACTCGGTAGGCTGAGGCAGGAGAATGGCATGAAACCGAGAGACGGAGCTTGCAGTGAGCCAAGATCGCGCCACTGCACTCCAGCCTGGGCGACAGAGCGAGACTCTGTCTCAAAAAAAAAAAAAAAACGAGAACAAAAACAAAAAAACTTACCATCTAGGCCAGGCACGGTGACTCACGACCATAATCGTAGCACTTTGGGAGGGCAAGGCAGGTGGCTAACTTGAACTCAGGAGTTTGAGACCAGACTGGGCAACATGGTGAAACCCCATCTCAACAAAAATAAAAATAAAAATAATTAGCAGGGCATGTCAGTGCACTCCAGCCCCAGTGCACTCAGTAGCCCCAGCTACTGAGGAGGCTGTGTTGGGAGGACGGCCTGAGCCCTGGAGGTGGAGGTTGCAATGAGCCGTGAATTTACCACTGCCCTACATCCTGGGTGACAGAGTGAGACCCTGTCTTATTAAAAAAAAAAAAAAAAAAAAAAAAAGAACCTACCTACCTAATTCTTTAAAATGCTTTTCATTACCATGTTGACAGCTGTCACCTCATGAAATGCTTACATCTCCATATTTTATTGATTAACCCAGAAAAGTATAAAATACATCTTTCATTTAATATTTAAAAGAAAAATCAGGCCGGGTACTGTGGCTCATGCTGGGATGACTAATCCTAGCACTCTGTGAGGCCGAGGCGGGCAGATCATGAGATCAGGAGTTCGAGGCCAGCTTGGCTAACATGGTGAAACCCCGTCTCTTACTAAAAATACAAAATAATTAGCCAGGTGTGGTGGTGGACACCTGTAATCCCAGCTACTCGGGAGGCTGAGGCAGTAGAATTGCTTGAACCCGGGAGGCGGAGCTTGCAGTGAGCTGAGATTGCGCCATTGTTCTCCAGCCCGGGTGACAGTAGGAGACCCCGTCTCAAAAAAAAAAAAAAAAAAAATAGCAGAAAAGTAAAGATCAATATCTCTTTGATTCAGAGAATCTTGAATCATTTTATCTAAGACAAATGGGTAGATAGTTCTGATTAGATCATAAATAAGCCATAAAATATGGCTCAAAGAGCTCAAATTTTGGATTTTATTTTACCTGGAGCTTTAGATCTGGCAGTGACAAGGTACTCTTTAATGGTTTGCTGAACAGCCTCGTAAAAGTTAATGAGTGGTGCAGATAGTGAAGGCTGCTATATTTGACCATGAAATGAAATGTATTTAATGTGTTTAGTAAATTAATTGGTCAGTATGTAATACTTTAGGTAAGTTATGAAATTCTGCCTTTTAACTGTAGTAAAGTATTAATGAAATGAGATTGTTTTGGAGGTTATATTTTAGGGTGTAGTGATCTGTAATGACAATGTATAATGTAGAAATTTCCCTGCTTCAGTCTTCTCCCTGACTGCTTTCTATTTAAATTGCTAAAATCAGCAATCATTCCCTTGCTGCTAAAAACCTCCTGAGTAGCTTTTTGTCACTGTAAAAGTTAAGCTTTCATATAGAATCTCCTTTATAGTCCAATTCCTGCCTCAATTTTTTCTCATCATTTCCCTTTCTGTGTCCTCCCCCTTGAACTTTATGCTATAGCAATGTCAAATTACATATGTTGCTGCTACTCACCTTTGCATATGCTAGTACCTCTGTAGGCACCACCTTTTCCTCCCCTCCTTCCTTAGTCAGCATGGTACATTCCTGTTCAATTTTCAGAACCCTACTTAGGTGCCATCTCTCTAAAGAGAAACCTGTGAACCATCACCTCCCTCACCTCAGGAAAGCACCAGTTCATTTGCTAGTCTAAACTACTACTGCTCCTGGCAGGCACGGTGGGTCATGCCTGTAATCCCAGCACTTTGGGAAGCTGACGCTAGCGGATCACCTGAGGTCAGGAGTTTGAGACCAGTCTGGCCAACATGGTGAAACCCCGTCTGTACTAAAAATACAAAAATTAGCTGGGTGTGGCTGGGCGCGGTGGCTCACGCCTGTAATCCCAGCACTTTGGGAGGCCAAGGCAGGCAGATCACCTGAGGTCAGGAGATCGAGACCATCCTGGCTAACATGGTGAAACCCTGTCTCTACTAAAAACACCAAAAAATTAGCCGGGCATGGTGGTGGACGCCTGTAGTCCCAGCTACTCAGGAGGCTGAGGCAGGAGAATGGTGTCAACCCGGGAGGCGGAGCTTGCAGTGAGCCGAGATCACGCCACTGCACTCCAGCCTGGGTGACAGAGCCAGACTCCATCTAAAAAAAAAAAAATTAGCTGGGCGTGGTGGCAGGTGCCTGTTATCCCAGCTACTAGGGAGGCTGAGGCAGCAGGATTGCTTGAACCCAGGAAGCGGAGGTTGCAGTGAGCCGAGATGACACCACTGCACTCCAGCCTGGGCGACAGAGCAAGACTCTGTCTCAAAAACAAGACAAAACAAAAAAAGAATTACTACTGCTCCTTATACATATTTTTGTCATTTATATTTATTGTCTATTTTTTCTTCCCCACGAATTTGTAAGTTCCTTAAAGTTAGGAATGCTGTCTTACTCGTATTCATACTTAAAGTGTCTGTCATAGTGTGTAAAATATAACAGATGATAAATAGCTACCAAACCTTTTGGTGCTTAGTGTTTTCACAAGTGTTTTTGTAAAAGCAAATCTGTAGTGTAGTGTAAACATTTTCTTGAGTTAAAAGCTTACCTTAAATGTTTTTGGAATAGGAAAAATTGTGCTGTTTATTAAAGTTAAATATTGTACCATGGGAACATTTAAGATAACATCTAGAAAATAGATGTCCTTAGATTTGTATTTGATCACCTTACCAAAACCTGAATGTATGGAGTGTGTTTAAATTGAGAAATACAGATTCATCATTAGCAAATTAATGGTTGTCATTTATTTTTCTCTGCCCAATTAGAAAACCTAATAGTTGATCAACATAGGCTTTAAAAAAAAAATTACCTTTCTTTGTTGTACTAGCTTTTAAATTAAAAAGACAATCTCGCTAAAGCAGTGGCATTAGGCACATGATTTTCCAAATTGAAAAATGCTATGTTTTTATTTATTTAGATTACCAGTTGAATATCCTAACTTTTACTGTTACAAATCTGTATATTTAAGCCAGAGTAACTGTAAAGCCTAGCTGTATATTTGGAATCATTTTCTCTGCAGTTACTCCTAATCATGTTCTGTAACAGTAGGCTCCATAGCCTATTTTTTCTTTTATTTGATTCAGCACCTGGCATAGTACCTACACTTACAGGTGCTCAAGTGTTTGTTGAATGGATGAAAGTCATTGAATTGGTGAGTTCCTCAATCTTAACCTACTACCCTGCTCCTTGCAGGTTGCTTCAGGACCAGCTCCCTGCTGCCACAGCCCTTGGCCACAGCAGCAAGAAGCTAGTCCTTCCCTTGTAATTGATAAATTGGGGAACTATTTTATTACTTGAAGATTTCCCTAAGTCTGAATCTTCAGGTATTGTAGATCAAATTTGTTCCCCACTTTACTGATTATGTAAGCTTGAAGTATATACAGTGGGGCTGCATAAAATGAAGGATACTTGCAGTCAGCTAATGGGACCCATACTTTTATAGTACCTTGAGGAGCAATAATAGAATTAGTTTTGATGTTTAACTCTGATCCAGTTTCGCATAAGTTGAGAGTAGGTATTCTTGAACCTGTGATCCTGATTTGAAAAATAGCTCTCTCATATGGTAAAAAAAACAAAACAAAACAAAACAAAACCACGAACAGTCTTGCTAGTCCCTTTTCTCATATGGGAATTTTTACTGTGGGGATTCTAACTATTGGGATACTTTTTAAGGCATATTCCTCTATAAAACATAAAATGTCTAGACTTACCTGGTTTTGAACAGCTTAGTGTTAAAAGAGTAACTTTGATTACGTAAAAAGCCTTTGAAGTATTTTAATGAACACTAGTCTTTGCTATTGGTAAGAAATCTGCTTGTTTTATTAAAATGCTTAATTGAAGAAAATAATATTCTTCTGTGATTAAAATTAGGAAGAAATAGAACCATTTCCAGAAGAAAGGGAGAACTTTCTTCAGCAATTGTACAAATTTATGGAAGATAGAGGTGAGTATTTTTTATTTATCATTAACGTGGTAAGTTTTGGACAGATAATTAGTATCTTAAAAATAAGAATAGAATTTTGTTTACTGAACTTTATGTCATCAGTAATTATGGCTGTCTTTTTGACTCTGATATCACCAGCACCTAGCATAGCGCCTGTCACGTAACAAGTAGAATGAGGAATTTGATAGCATTTTGACAGATATTGTGGCTATGGACACATAAATGCACTTATTACCCTGTCCTGCCAATCCCTTTACCTATCCATGGGTCCCTAAAGAACAGTAGCAAAATGGGAATTAAGCCAGAAATAGATAAAGAAGTGTGACAAAGTCTCAAAAGTGAGCCTTGGCTCAGCTTATTTAATCTGCCAGAAGCTGCTAAGGCCACGGAAGGATTGAAGGAAGAAGAATAACTTAGGGTAATGAACTAATCCTTCCGTAACCTCAACACTGTTATTCTCTAGCTTATCTTCTTGGTCAGAGTCTACTTTCTTCTTTTCTGGGAAGATGCTTGTAAGGGAGTAAGGAGAGGCTTTCTAGCTGGAAGGGAAGGGCAAAATGAATGATTAGTGTTTGGAAACACCACAATACTCTGGGAATTGAACGTTTTCTAAATCCCTGATTGTAATGCTGATGAGTAGAAACTGACTCTGTTTGTCATGTTTAGTTTTCATAAATGATAACAACGCCTAACACAATATAAGTATATTTTCTTTTTCAATATAAAATGTCTTTGATTCTTGTATTATTTCTTTACATGAATGGAGGGTTGGCCTAAGAAGTATGCTGTTTCATAGGCTCTTGTATAAGATAAATGAAAAAGCAAAGAAAATGAATAAAATCTAATACTAGAAAAGAATGAAAAAATATGATTAAGCCAGTCATATATTTTGTAGAAATGGCCATATGAGGCATTGTACCCCTACCCTGTTACCTCCTCTACCACTTTCTCATGGTTTGTTTGATTTAGCATCCTTGCCTTGCGTTTTCTTGTGTTAGAATGAAAAAAAAAAAAAAATGTAGCTTTACTATAGAATCATTATTTAGAGTAGTAGTAAATTGGTAAAATACAAAGAAAATGCCATAAAAGTAACTCTTATTGGGAAGCAGTTATCTAGTATTTCTTCCCTCAGCAGAGGGAAGAAAGTAGAATGAAAATAAAAGGTTTCAAGAATCTGGTTATGGTTTTTAAAATTTAAAAAATTTTAAAGTGGCCATGGGCTTATTTATGTGTAGATACCATGTCTTTGATTAACAAGATAATTTCTCATATATATATATACATATATATGTATATATACACACACATATATATACGTGTATATATATATATACGTGTATATATATATAAAATACTATAAATACTTGTATTATTTGAATCTTTTGAAATTTTAAATTAAAAATGTAGTGTGGATCTAATATAGTTTGTGTTTTCTGTAACAGGTACACCTATTAACAAACGACCTGTACTTGGATATCGAAATTTGAATCTCTTTAAGTTATTCAGACTTGTACACAAACTTGGAGGATTTGATAATGTGAGTGTTGTAGTCAAACTGAAACATCTTTTTCATGTAACATGTTTTCTCAGGTATCTGCCATCTCTGAAATTGTTTTTCTAAACAACAAAACAAAGTTTTTCAGTAAAAACCTAAGAAGAAGATAAAGTGGAAAGTACAGCTAGCCTCCTCAGACAAAATTTAAATTTTAAAGATTTTTTAGGCCAGGCATGGTGGCTCATGCCTGCAACCCCAACACTTTGGGAGGCTGAGGCGGGTAGATCACTTTAGGCCAGGAGTTCAAGAACAGCCTGGCCAACATAGCAAAACCCCATCTCTACAAAGAATACAAAAATCAGCCAGACGTGGTGACGCACGCTTGTAATCCCAGCTACATGGCAGGCTGAGGCACGAGAATCGCTTGAACCCAGGAGACAGAGATTACAGTGAACCAAGATTGCACCGCTGGACTGCATTCCAGCCTGCGTGACAGAATGAGACTCTGTCTCAAAAAAAAAAAAAAAAAGATTTTTTTTCATATCAGCTTTCTGATTACTGTTAAATTGGTCAATCTTTCATAAACCTTCTTTTTTTATCTGAGTCACAGCACAGCCATATTGGTGGAAATCCTTCCTGTGTCTCTTTTTCATTAGACAGTATGCTCCTTAAGAGCAGGGATCTGTCTTAATATTCTGTATATTCTTAATCCCTTTCAGAATATAAAGGGATTAAAGCAGGAAATGTTTGTTGAACTGATCTGAAGAAATTATTTTAAGGTTGACGTGATGTACGATACTTATCCAATTGAGAATATTCTATGGAATAAAATACTTTACAAATTTCTGCAGAACTGCATTTATTAGCCTGTATATTTTATGCGAAATAATAAATCCTTTAAAAATGTTTGTCTCCATTTCTTTGTTAAAAATTTTGATTTAAGAGCCTGAATATTTTTCCATTTTCCATAACTGGGTTTATTTAAAAGTCAAATGGGGCCAGTTATGGTGACTCATGCCTGTAATCTCAGCACTTTGGGAGGCTAAGGCCAGGGGATTGCTGGAGCCCAGGACTTTGAGACCCGCCTGGGCAACATGGTGAGACTCCATCTCCACAAAAAAAATTTTTTAATTAGCCAGGTGTGGTGGTGTGCATCTATAGTCCCAGCTACTTGGGTTGTTGAGTCAGGAAGATCCCTTGAGCCCGGAAGTTCAGGGCTGCAGTGAGCTGTGTTTGTGCCACTGTTGCTGCACTTTAGCCTAGGCAATAGAATAAGATCCTGTCTCCAAAAAAAAAAAAAAAAAAAAAAAAAAAAAAAAAATAGTCAAATGACTTAATATTTCAACATTTATAATTTTCTGATATTTGTTAGAGTACTAAAACCTTTATTTTTAAACCAAATTTAGAATTTATCAAGTTTTTAAAAATTCTTTTGAGTCTAGGACCAATAAATATAAAAATATACTCATATATACTGTGTCTATCAAAATGTTATTATATTAACACCTTTTAATTTGAGAGTTTTTGTTTCACTTTGTCCATTAGATTGAAAGTGGAGCTGTTTGGAAACAAGTCTACCAAGATCTTGGAATCCCTGTCTTAAATTCAGCTGCAGGATACAATGTTAAATGTGCTTATAAAAAGTAAGTTAGTATAATTGATATGATTATCTTCAGTATTTTTACCTAGAAAGCAGGATGAAATTTACCTTATAACTGAGGTTAATTATTTCTTTAAAGAAATCAGAACATTTTACTAGAGTAGTCATTCTATGATAGTATTTTCTAAAGTGTATTCTATGATACTAGATCTATGAGAAATTCTGTGAAGAAAGTTTTTGTGGCTAAGTACATTTGTCAAGTACTTCATAGAGGTTAAAAAGCTAATATTCTGAAGTCAAGTAAATCCACATTTGAATCCTAGTTCTGCCAATTATTAACTGTTTATGCCCTAGGGCCAGTTATTTATTCTCCTAAGCCTCAGTTTCTTCATTTGTAAAATGGAATGCTTGGCCAGGCACGGTGGCTCATGCCTGTAACTTCAGCACTTTGGGAGGCCGAGGCGGGCAGATCACTTGAGGTCAGGAGTTCAAGACCAGCCTGGCCAGCATGGCGAAACCTTGTCTCCACTAAAAATACAAAAATTACCTGAGCATAGTGGCTAACGCCTGTAGTCCCAGCTACTCAGGAGGCTGAGGCAGGAGAATTGCTTGAACCCAGGAGGCGGAGGTTATAGTGAGCTGAGATTGCGCCACTGCACTTCAGCCTGGGCAACAGAGTAAGGCTGTCTCAAAAAAACAAAAAAAAACAAAAAAAAACAAAAAAAGGATGCTGCTGTGTGCCCCAGGGTTACTGTAGTGACTAAATGAGATTTACTAAGGAGTCCAGCCTCACACATAAGAAATGTGCAAAAAATAGATGCTATTACTAATACTTTTAATAGCTGTTATTGTTATGACTCTGAGCACAGTGTTTTAAATGAATTTTTTGACAAAATTTTTTTTTTGCATTGAAAAGATTAGAAAGAACTAGAATAAATTAGAATGTTAATATGGCTCAATATCTGAGAGTTTAGACAAAAGAAATGAATACACATTAAAAATAACTCTATAGTTATATTTTGAAATGTTTTCACCAAATGTAATTTCTCTTCATGTTTCCAGATACTTATATGGTTTTGAGGAGTACTGTAGATCAGCCAACATTGAATTTCAGATGGCATTGCCAGAGAAAGTTGTTAACAAGCAATGTAAGGAGTGTGAAAATGTAAAAGAAATAAAAGTTAAGGAGGAAAATGAAACAGAGATCAAAGAAATAAAGATGGAGGAGGAGAGGAATATAATACCAAGAGAAGAAAAGCCTATTGAGGATGAAATTGAAAGAAAAGAAAATATTAAGCCCTCTCTGGTAAATCAGATATTGTTAATTGTCTTTTGCTTTCTTTGGTATATTTTCCATATCCTCTATAAAGTTCCAAAATCAATATATTGTATAATATTATTCTTTATTATTTGTTTATTTTCTTCATTAAGTGCTACTTTTGTATAATTTTTATCATAACTTCAAAATAGCTGTTAGCTATTTTTGTCTAGAGCTTTAAAGTAGCAGGAGTTTCTTAAAAGTAATTTATAACTTTTAATATTAGAATTGGTTGATACCTCCTGTTGCTAAGAGATAAACCATGGATATAGGTTGAAAATTTTTACTTTTGTTGGTTTCTTTCCTCTGATCTTTTTCTAGGGAAGTAAAAAGAATTTATTAGAATCTATACCTACACATTCTGATCAGGAAAAAGAAGTTAACATTAAAAAACCAGAAGACAATGAAAATCTGGATGACAAAGATGATGACACAACTAGGGTAGATGAATCCCTCAACATAAAGGTAGAAGCTGAGGAAGAAAAAGCAAAATCTGGGTAAGAAAATTGTTTTTGGTTACGATGCATTTCAGCTTGATGGATTCTTATCATTTGCTCTTTGTATGTGTTTATGTATGAATCTAAATTAATTGACAAAATATTAAATAATAGAGTGATTGGCATTTATTAATTAAATAGCATTCACTTCTTTCAGAGACCCTACTGATAGAAATTTGTAGAGAAAGATCATACTTTGATCCACCCTTCTTGCTCTCATCATGGAAATTGATAAAATTTTTAGCTAGAGCAAAGTACTTTTTAGGTCTGCTGAATTACTTGATAATATAAACTTGGGGCTATGTCCATGTTTTATATATTGTATGTTGGCTATAGATTCTGAGAGTTGTATTTATTTCTTAAGCAAAAGCAAGAGTGGAAAAATACTAAAGTTTTAAAAGGCCAAAAATTGTATGTTCTATTTTATGTGATAGTAGCATTTGTTTGTTTTAGTCACTTGGAATGATGAATTATTTGACAATGTAATTTATGCACTGCTAGTGGACCCCTGGATTTTATAGATAATCTTTGGCATTGAATCTTTTTTCTGAGGCTTAAAAAACATAAACATATCTGTTAGTGTCTCATTTAAATAAGTACAATGAATTAAAAAAAAAATCATTTAGCAGGCCAGGTGCGGTGGTTCACGCCTGTAATCCCAGCACTTTTGGGAGACCGGGGCGGGCAGATCACTTGATGTCGGGATTTCAAGACCAGCCTGGCCAACATACCGAAACCCTGTCTCTTCTAAAAATACAAAGAAGTCAGGCGTGGTGACATGTGCCCATAATCCCAGCTACTCAGGAGGGTGAGGCAGGAGAATCTCTTGAACCCTGGAGGCAGAGGTTGCAGTGAGCTGAGATCGTACCACTGTAGGCCAGCTTGGGGGATCGAGTGAGACTCTGTCTCAAAAAAAAAAAAAAAAAAATCATTTAGCGTACTGACATTTGGCCACAGTATGCAGACGAACAGGGAAGGGGAAAATAAAAAATGGGGCTTATATGAATATAGTAAAAAATGTTTATTATACTTTGTTGTATTTTTGTGTATAAAAATATATATTTGAAGTATGCCTTACTGCTGTTGGAGACTATTTCAAGTATTAAGAAACAGTAAAGATTTCAGCTTTTTGCCTAAAATCTTTTGATTGATCAGAGTTCTGAAATTTTGGTGGCACCATACAAACATGGAAGAAAAACATCCTGGGTTTAGAAGAATGTAGTAAAAGTGTTTGTTGATTATACTTTGTTATATTTCTATGTGTAGAAGTGTATGTTTAAAGTACTGCTAAAGGAGATCATTTTGATAAGAATCTTAATAAAGATTCAGCTTTTTACCAAAAAATCTGATTTTTAAATCTGCAGATGTTTCTGGAACATCTGCTGTTTGCAAGGCACTGTGATAAATCTGTATTTTTTTCTTTGCTAATTTTTTAAGTTGGTGCTTCTGCTTATTTTATAGAATAAACTGTATTTTGTAGGTTTTTAACAACCCCTTTAACTGTATAATTATATGGATTTTTATGTACTACAGATATTTATTAGTATATGCGTACCTCAAACTAAAATTTTCCTGATGTGACTGCCCTAGTTTGGTAGATATTTTTTAGAAGCATTGCAGTTGGGACTGTTTATATAGTACTCCCTGCTTTTCCACAGTTTCAGTTACCTGTGGTCAACTGTGGTCTGAAAACAGGTGAGTACAGTGCAATAAAATATTTTGAGAGAGTGAGACAAGACCATATTCACATAACTGTTATTATAGCATATTATAATTGCTTTGTTATTAGTCATTGCTTATCTCATGCTGTGCCTTATTAATAAATTAAACTTTATCAGAGGTATGTATGTATAGGAAAAAACACAGTATATATAAGGTTTGGTACTATCCACGGTTTCAGGCATCCACTGGGGATCTTGGACTGTATCCCTTGCAGATAAGAGGGGCTTACTGTAATTGATTTTTGAGTTTTATTAGATAATTGCAGTGGAAAATTTTACAGTGATAATTAATATATAGGTATTTTTCTGGCATATAAACTTTCTCTAAGTAATAGGCTACTACCAAGAATGTTCAGTGTCCTTCTTCCATTGTCCAGATGTGGGAGATTGAAGAAGTTGATATATGTAAAATGTCTAGTTCAGTGCCTTGGCCATAGCACGTACTTAATACACTATCTTTTTTAAAATTTTTGTTTCATTGTAAAGAGTGTAATATCAAGTAGGGAAGATTTGATATTTCTTTGTGAATTCAGATGAAAATCCTTGCTGATACATTTCGTTTCCCAAGATATTCTTCTCTAAAATATGACTAGCTTAAATGCATATGTGTGTGTATGTATGTATGTATGTATGTGAGTGTATGTATGTATATGAGTGCATGTATGTAGTGTATGCATCAACTTAATTTTTTTTAACCTGTATGTATGTTGGTTGCATTTTATACTTTCAGAGGCTCTCTTTCTTGGCATTCTGTGTTCCATCTGGTTTAGCACATTAGTCTTGAATTTGCCACTGAAGTCTTAGAGAGTAGAATAGTTTTCTTTGGTTGATTGCCAGTAATTATGTTGTTTTTTTCTTTATACTTCAGTGTATTATTAAAGTGAATTTCATTTGGTTTGTGTCTGAGGGTGATATTAAATGTATATTTTTAATTTTTGATTGCTTGATTTCATTAATAAAAGAGTGTTGGGTTTTTGTTGTAGATTGAATGAAAATTTGCCTGGGCTACTACTTAAAGTATGATTGTGCTTGCTGTTGGCATTTAGAATTGTTTGTATTCATCAACTCAGTGTATTCTATGATGTAAGATACAGCTTGGAGTTTGTCGTCATTTCAAAAAATTTAGAATTTTGATTCTATATCTCATTTTTATATGATGATTCTGAGGTGCATGATAAATCTCTTTTATTGTGGCCACAATAAAATATGCTTCTTTTCCCCACTATGCAAAGATAGAGTCTTATGACTTAGGCAAGTATTCTTTCAAAAAAAAATTGTTTTAATTTACTATATAAAATAAAATTCCTCATAATAATTTATCATTGATAATCCCATTTCTGTTAATTTTTTTGATATTTTAGCCTTAATAAAATTACTTTTTTATAATAGAAATATTATTTTCAATAACATTGTTAATATTTTAATCTCAGGCTGGGTGCGGTGGCTCATGCCTGTAATCCCTGCACTTCGGGAGGCCCAGGCAGGCGGATCACCTGAGGTCAGGAGTTCGAGACCAGCCTGGCCAACATGGTGAAACCCCATCTCTACTAAAAATACAAAAAATCAGCAGAGCGTAGTGGCATGTAGTCCCAGCTTATTGGGAAGCTGAAGCAGGAGAATTGGTTGAACCTGGGAGACGGAGGTTGCAGTGAGCTGAGATCACGCCACTGTACTCCAGCCTGGGCAACAGAGCGAGACTCTGTCTCAAAAAAAAAGTATATATATATACACGTATATATGTGTGTGTGTGTGTGTGTGTGTATACATATATATGTATATCTCAGATTATAGCTGGTTTCATGAAGGTTTTAGATTTTTTAAATACTTATATATTTGACTGTAACTGAGTCTTTAAAATAGGAATAAATCTTGAGAATTTTTGAGGAATTTGTGTTATAGTTCAGACAAAATTGATATATTTGATACTTTCGTGAACACGGACTTACTTCCACCGGTCCATTAAACATCCTGCCAACACTCCTGCCCCACTATACAAAAGGACAAGGAGAATAAAAAAGCATTATAGTGCTGCTTATATCACTATTTATATATTATTTTTGTTGCCTGTATAATTAATTAGGAATGATAAAGTATATTATCCCTAAAAAGGTTGCATATAGAGATATAAAGCTGAAATTTTCAGTGGAGGAAGTTTTTTTTTTAATATAAATATTATATTCATCAGGTGGGCACAGTGGCTCACACCTATAATCCCAGCACTTTGGAAGGCCAAAGTATGAAGATTGCTTGAGCCCGGGAGTTCAAGACCAGCCTAAACAACATAGTGAGACCCCTGTCTCTACAAAAATAAAAAATAAAAAACTATCTGGGTGTGGTGGTGTGTGCCTGTAGTCCCAGCTACTTGGGATGCTGAGGTGGGAGGATCATTTGAGCACAGGAAGTCAAGACCACAGTGAGCAGTGATCAGGCCACTTCACTCCAACCTGGATGACACAGTGAGACCATGTCTCCAAGGGGGGGAAAAATATATACACACACACACACACACACACACACACACACATATATATGTGTGCATGGTGTAATATATGTATATATATAATCATTACTCTTAATATATAATATAGCATATATTTTAATATATCATGTATTTTACATATTATTAATTTTTAAAGCTTAAATACTAAACTATCTGGTTGTTCTGCCTTATGATGTTTAGTCATTTGTGAGCCCTAAAGTGATGGAGTCTTTAAGTACAGACATACAGGACAGCAAATAAAACCAGACTAAATGTAGCCTTGGATTTCATATTGAAATTTTTTAAAAAATAAATCTAGTGTTTGGAAAGATTTATGATTGAAGATTTTCTCCAACTTGTTGAATACAGATTGGTGGTCAATATAAAAAGGATATGAATGCTCAGTTTTAGAAAGTACATGGTACTAAGAAGATAAAAATGGGTGTAAGGCCAGGTGTGGTGGCTCACGGCTGTAATCCCAGCACTTTGGGAGGCCACGGTGGGTGGATCACCTGAGGTCAGGAGTTTGAGACCAGCCTGACCAACATGGTGAAACCCTGTCACTACTAAAAATACAAAAAAAATTAGCTGGGTGTGGTGGTGGGTGCCTGTAATCCCAGCTACTTGGGAGGCTGAGGCAGGAGAATCGCTTGAACCTGGGAGGCGGAGGTTGCAGTGAGCCGAGATTGCGCCATTGCACCACTCCAGCCTGGGCGACAGGAGTGAAAATCTATCAAAAAAAAAAAAAAAAAAAAGGATGTAATACTCTTTCTAGAATAGTTTGACTTTTAGTTTCATATACTTGTAATTGGCCTCTCATCTGTCTATTTCTTTGGAACATCAAAGTTGAGAAGATTTGTAGAAGATGTTAATAAATCTGTGGTAATGAGAGTAGAAATTGTGTTGAAGTTTAAAGGAAAGAACAAACATGATAAGATATTGGTAGTACATTATTAGAATATTTCTGTTTAAATTAAAATAGTATTTCAGTTATTATAACATTTGAAAATTCGGTTGGAGAATGTTTTAAAGTTATTAAGACTGCCATCTGCTAGTAAAAATTATTGTTTCAAACTTCCTGAGGCCTCCAGCTTGGGTGACAGAGCAAGACTCTGTCTCTAAAAAAATGAAACAAACATCTTGAGGCTGGAAATATTTGAATGAAAAATAATTTTTAGTTGTAAAATGGCAATGAAGTATAATGAATTTTTTTGTCAATTGAGATGTTAAAACACTTTTATTAATAAAACATGAAAAAATTGTTAGAGTTGACCATACTTGCTTCTTGCTGTTCGGCACAAATTCTGTTCTTCTGACTTTTGGAAATTTTCTTTTACTGCACTTATTTTTGAATCTTCATTTTCTCTAAATGTGTCTTTCTGTAACCTTGGTTGTCTTACAGTTTTAGTTTTTAATAGTAAAATGAAACTCTGAGAATTTCATACACGTGGAACCTGCTTTTCCTGGAACAATCACAGCCACAACTTTTATCAATATATGTGGTTTGGAACTGAAAAACTTATGAAGTGTCTTTTATTAACTCTGCAATTTTTTAAACCTTTCAAGAGATGAAACGAATAAAGAAGAAGATGAAGATGATGAAGAAGCAGAAGAGGAGGAGGAGGAGGAAGAAGAAGAAGAGGATGAAGATGATGATGACAACAATGAGGAAGAGGAGTTTGAGTGCTATCCACCAGGCATGAAAGTCCAAGTGCGGTATGGACGAGGGAAAAATCAAAAAATGTATGAAGCTAGTATTAAAGATTCTGATGTCGAAGGTGGAGAGGTCCTTTACTTGGTGCATTACTGCGGATGGAATGTGAGGTAACTTGAGTTTTAGCTAGTGATTATTACCTAAAAACAATTATAAAATACTTTTCTATTTAAAAACTTAAGTAATGGATTACAGATTTATTAGTATTCTAATTGAGGTCATAGTACCTTATAAAAAATAGTTTTTAGCATGTAAATACCTCACTTAGTGACTTACAATTAATGTTTTCACTACTTAGAAGATATCCCTAATGTCTAGAAAACCGAGGTCTACACACTTGATTTTTATGTACTACATGTAGATCAGCAGACAAAACATTGTTGAAATGATCAGAACTTCTGGACATCTACAAACCAATTATCAGGCTGCTTGCTGTCTTGCATTTTAAACTACATTGCCACAGTAACCTCTTTTTTGTATTCTGAAGTCATTTCTTTCCTTCTGTAGTCAGGGATTTAAAATCCTAGGAAACATTAGCTATTTTAAGAAAGCCTTATCTCCTTATTAACAGCTATTGCATTACAGCCTTATTCAGAAGTCTCAGAAATTTATTAGTATCTTTGAAAAAATCTGGTTGAACATGTAAGCAGACCTGCTTCACTAAAATAGAATGCACTTTTTGACTGCTCCTAACCTAGGGAACTGAAAGGCAAGAGTGAAATTTGGTTTTAAGTCATGTTCAATGACTTAAGCATTTTTCTTAGATAAATTTTCTTTGGCTTTCCAAAGAAATTTTGTATTTTGATTTTATCCAAAATTGGCAAGCCAGTTTTGGGATCTATTCATTCAGTTATCTTTTAAGAATCATTTATTTTAGAATATTTGATAGTATATTTGAAATGTAGCCTATAAGACAGATACCTGGAAAGATTAACCATAGAAGTTTAAGTTGTGGTTTCATGGTGTACCTAGTGTCTTCAAGGAGGAATACAGTTCTCATGCTTTATACTTAAATTATATTCTGTGGTTTGGGAAGTTAATAGGAAGGCATCATCTCAAATTCTGTGTTTGAGTGTTGCAAATGAAATTTTGATTCTCTTTAATCACTTCCCACAATGCCCTTTCTCTAAAGAAAATCACTTCTGAGAGTTTTGAGGCTGTCCTTACTAACTTTTCATTCTACTTTCACATACATATAAATGTACTCATAGAAAATATATAGTATTCTTACATGCATGTGTTTTAAATAAATTATACTATACAAAATTCTGTTTCTTAAATTTTTTGTTGTCCTGTTGTGTAATAGGAAGCTCATGATCTAATCTGATTACCTTTCTTATTTTGAGAAAAGTACCAGTCCGATCCATTCTGATGCTTGGAAGAAAATAGCAAATAGCAAATAGCAACTTAAGTCATGAGGAGATGTTCAGAAGTTTTGTTTTGGTCTCATTCTTTATTATGTCTAATCAGGATACAGTTTTAGATTTTAAGAATACCTATCGTCAGAGCTTAGATGTGATAGTCATCCAGAAACATAAGTTTTTCCAGATACCACTTTAACACACTGCACAATTTATCCTTTCACCTGTTGGTTCTTTTTTTCTGTTTTTTGTTTTTGTTTTTGTCTTTTTTTGGAGATAGAGTCTAGCTCTGTTGCCCAGGCTGGAGTGTAGTGGCACGATCTCTACTCACTGCAACTTCCACCTCCCAGGCTCAAGCGATTCTTGTGCTGCAGCCTCCTGAGTAGCTAGGATTATAGGCGCCCACCATTGTGCCTGGCTAATTTTCGTATTTTTAGTAGAGATGGGGTTTTGCCATGTTTGTCTTGAACTCCTGACCTCAGGTGATCTGCCTTGGCCTCCCAAAGTGCTGGGATTACGGGTGTCAGCTGTTGGTTCTTATGCTGCCTTTCTGGTATGTGATTTTCCTCACCTGAAGGTCTGGCTATTAATGAATATATTCCAAAGAAGGTACTTGAGATCTCAGATATAGCTACCAAAAGAATATTTTGCCCAATTTTTTACTTCTAGTCATTTTGATCTTACTAAATTATCTTACCGAATATAAATGTAGAGGGAGTTCTACTTCTGCCTAGGATATAAATGTAAATGTAGAATATGTTAGTTTAAAATTAGGAAGAAAAAAGCTGGGTGTGGTGTTGCATGCCTGTAGTCCCAGCTACTGAGGTGGGAGGATCACTTGAACCCAGGAATTCGAGGCTGCAGTGAACTATGATCATGCCACTGTACTCCAGCCTGAGTGCCAGAATGAGACCTCATCTCTTAAATTAAGAAATACTTGGATTAGCAAAAACGAATAATTACTGCATAATGCCCATGAGATAGAGTCACAACACCTTTTGCCTCTCTTTTTAGTTTTTCTGATTATTTTGCTAGTTTACATGTAGAGGCAGTTTTTCCTCTTGGCCTTTATGAAGTATTTGAAATTCTATGAAAAAGGGATAGAATTTAGGTGTTCTCCAACTTTCACTGTATATAATCAGGGCTCATTTCCTTCCCTTCTTCCTTCCCTCCTTCCCTCCTTCCTTCCACGGAGTTTCACTCTTAATGCCCAGCCTGGAGTGCAGTGGCTGGATCTTGGCTCACCGCAGCCTCCGCCTCCCGGGTTCAAGCGCTTCTCCTGCCTCAGTCTCCTGAGTAGCTGAGATAGGCACGCACCACCACGCCCAGCTAATTTTTGTATTTTTAGTAGAGATGGGGTTTCTCCATGTTTGTTAGGCTGGTCTCAAACTCCTGACCTCAGGTGATCCACCTGCCTCAGCCTCCCAAAGTGCTGGGACTACAGGCATGAGCCACCGTGCCCGGCCAAGGCTTATTTTCTATTAATTGGCTCTTTAAACAAAAAAGGCTTAGTAGATATAAGAACTGAGTCATTCATGAAACTGTTTTACAATTAAGATATAGCTTTGTTTTGTTAAGAAAAGATTGACTAAAAGAAAGAGAATTCCAGGAGTATTTTGATTTTAGATGGTAGAAAGAATCTCTAGTAATTTAGTTTTTAAATAGCAGGAAGGGAAAGGAAAGAATTTAAATTGAGGCATTCAAGTTTTTAATAATATAGGGAGGAAAATGCGACCTAGTTCAACAAGACATGCTTGTGTTACTGTGAACGTTGCCATCTATTTCTGAGAACTCAAGTGCTTGTATGCTATGAACTTTCAAAAGAAGAAAACTTAACATCTTGATGAAGACCTGTAGGATGGATCTCTATACACTCCAACATCATGGAGAAAACAAATGTACTTCAGTAGATTAAGCAGTTAATCTTCTTAGAGTTAACATAACTATTTTATTTCTTTCTGCAATAATCAGTCTGTCTTATTGATAAATAAGCAATAATTTTTATTTTTGCGGCTCCTCCAGTTCTGAAGCTAATTTAATAAGGACTGCAACAAATCCTCATCAGCTGTATGACAATTTTTCTTTTATTTTTAGGGTCTTCAGCTTGATCTCTAAATTTATACTTAACAGATGTGAAATTGGAAATGAAGATTTATGCGTGGAGGTTCATGAAAATAGTTTTATCTTCAGTGGTAGTCATTCATGACAAGCAGTTTGGGAGATTTGTGTGGACCTATTTCCATGGTTTTTTTAATCTGAAACAAGTATTTCAGATTAAAAAAAAAGAGAGAGACAGACAGGACCTTGTTCTGTCACCCAGGCTGGAGTGCAGTGGTGCAATCATGGCTCTCCAGCCTCGACTTCTTGGGCTCGAGTGATCCTCCCACCTCAGCCTCTGGAATAGGTGGGACTCTAGGTGTGCATCACCACACCTGGCTAATTTTTTATCTTTTGTAGAGATGGGGTCTCACTATGTTGCCCAAGCTGGTTTCAAACTCCTGGGCTCAAGCAGTCCTCCTGCCTTGGCTTCCAAAAGTGCTGGGATTATAGACATGAACCAATGCTCCTGGCCATGAAACATGTTTTTCCGGTAAAGAGATTTTCTCAAATAATGTAAGAGTGTCTGTCTTTTTGTTTAAAAATACTGTTTTTAGGCCAGGCACGGGTAGCTCATGCCCATAATCCCAGCACTTTGGGAGGCCGAGGCGGGCAGATCACCTGAGGTCAGGAGTTCGAAACCAGCCTGGCCAACATGGCGAAACCTCATCTCTACTAAAAATACAAAAATTAGCCAGACATGGTGGCAGGTGCCTGTAATCCGATCTACTTGGGAGGCTGAGGCATGAGAATGACTTGATCCAGGGGCACAGAGGTTGCAGTGAACCAAGATCACACCATTGCACTCCAGCCTGGGTGACAGAGCAAGACTCCATCTCAAAAAAAAAAAAACAAAACAAAAAACAAAAAAATCAATTTTCTTGTTAATTTTTACATTTTTCTTTTTTTTCTAACTAAAATGCTGTTTGTTTGTTTGTTGTTTGTTTTTGAGATGAGGTTTTGCTCTTGTTGTCTAGGCTGGAGTGCAGCGCCGTGATATCATCTCACTGTCACCTCCGCCTCCCAGGTTCAAAAGATTCCCCTGTCTCAGCCTCCCAAGTAGCTGGGATTGTAGGCACATGCCACCATGCCCAGCAAATTTTTGTATTTTTAGTAGAGATGGGGTTTCACCATGTTGACCAGACTGGTCTCAAACGCCTGACCTCAGGTGATCCACCTCTGCCCCCGTAAGTGGTGGGATTATAGGCGTGAGCCACTGCGCCCGACCTGTATAAATCTTTAATATAATTTTCATGTATGTCCCTATTTCACAGCTGAAAATGTTGATTTTTGTTATACAAAGGTTAACATTTGGGCAAGTTTGTTTTCTACTGTTGTGATGAAAAAAAGTCATATTTTAACATGTTCACACCACATTTACTGGAAAGGGCTTGAACTCTTTAACCACAAATATTATAATACTCTTACAGAATTTTTCTGATGCAGTGACAGTATCTAAAACTATTGTCTAGCACTATATTACTTACTATGTCACCAAGCACTAGGCATGTTTGGAGTATGCTCATAAATTATTTTTTAAACTCTTCTAAAAATAACAATTTAGAAAAATACATAAAAGTAGAAAGATAAAATTATTGCTGGCCGGCCGGGCACGGTGGCTCACGCCTGTAATCCCAGCACTTTGGGAGGCCGAGGTGGGCGGATCACCTGAGGTTGGGAGTTCGAGACCAGTTCGAGACCAGCCTGACCAACATGAAGAAACCCCATCTCTACTAAAAAAAAACACAAAATTAGCCAGGCATGGAGGCACATGCCTATAATCCCAGCTACTAGGTAGGGTGAGGCAGGAGAATCGCTCGAACCTGGGAGACGGAGGTTGCGGTGAGCCGAGATTGCGCCATTGCACTCCAGCCTGGGCAACAAGAGCGAAACTCCATCTCAAAAAAATAGAAAAAAAATAATAATAAAATTACTAATATTATAGTGTGTTCTCTTTTAGTCTTTTAAAATGTCTCCCTACATTTAAAAAAAATTTAGTTCTGCTTAAGTAGTTTTTAATAGTAGGCTCTCTATTTAACTTTTCTTAGTGATGTTAATATTTTATAGAGAATCTTAGCATAATTATCTAATTGATCCCTTTCACTCTCAAGTTTCTAAGTCGTGTCGTAAATATGGGATTGATTTTTGAAAGTAAGGGTACACATTGAAATTAACATGCCGTAAACTAGTTGAGTGTGTTGGATTTCTTTGTTTAGTAACAACTGAGTGAAACTATCTAGACTAATTGGCATGGAATTTAAAATACATCAATATTTTGTAATAGTGTATCAATACTGATTGAATTTTCTCGCTCATTTCCAACTTGGCTTTCTGTAATCAAAGAGTTGCAAATTTAGTTAGAGAATAATTTTTTGTATGTTGAAGATCACCAGCTGCATTAATGGGAACCCAAAAGTAAAAGAGACACTGTAAAACTTCAGTTGTAAAACTCTTAAATAAGCCACAACAGTTCTAGTGCATGTTAACAGTTACAGAGAACTGAAAATAAGCTAAATTATGCTAAATATATTATTTGAAATTAAAAATGTGTTACATTTAAAAAATATTTTCGCCAAACAAATTAAATCCTCTTAGGAGGGAATGAGTTAGGGGATGAAAAAACCTGGTAAAAGGCTTTCACAAATGAGTAGGCTCAATCCTATTTTTTGCCATCATTCAGTTGCTTTTTATCACACTTTATTCCTTTATTTTCCAAACATAAGTTGAATACCCACTATGTGCCAAATACTGTGCTTGTCACCAAAGATACCAAGAAGTGGTCCTTATTAAGGAATTCATAATAATAATAAATTCTTTATTAAGGTATTGATCCTACCACCCCTTACCTCTTCACCCCAGTTAATGCACTCAGTCTTCCCTTGATATTGCTTACATTCCCTGGCATTATTATTATAATCACTTCTTTTGACTCAAGCTGTTCTTTTTCTCTCCTTTTGCTTTATAGTACTCATCTGACAAAACCACAAGAACCTTGATTAAATCTAACCCTCCAGCTCCTTGCCTGCACCTGTGCAGCCGATCGTGGTTGGAGTAAAGCAAGCAACCACAATGACTGTTCTTATTTTAAATTCATTACTGTGAACCTCAAGTGGGTCCTTAATTCTCTATGTCCTTCTTCCATTCACTTTCCTACTTTCTTAGAAGACTATTTCATACTGCTGCTTATGTCTTCACATCCCCAACATCTCTTCCCTATCCTCATTTTCAGCTGGTGACCTTGCTTTGTACCTACTGAGAGATAGAAACAAGAAAAACATTTCTACACACTTCATAAGATCTGCCTACCTAACTGCGTTTGCTGCCACATTCTCTGTGTTTTCATCTTTAGCCATAGATATACAGTCATGCTACTGTCTGAAGCCAGTCTTCATAAGCATCCCTTCTTGACTGATCAAAGACATGGCCCATTTTCTTGCTCTGTTCTGAGTCATTCCCACTACTTACAGATCTGTGGTTATTTGTCACATCTCAAGGAAAATCTTTTCTGGAGCCTGACTTCTACTGTGACATTTCTTCGCTCCATTTTCATTCAGCAGAACTGTTTGAAAGTTACCTACACTTGTTACTCAGTTTCTCTCCTTTTTCTGTGTAAATCCACTCTCATCAGCCTTTTGTTCACTGTGTCTCCACAACTGTGCTTACCAGGAACACTAGTGACCCTTTGTAGATAAATTCCTCCTGCTTTTCTTGCCCTCTTACGTACCTTATCAGTGGCTTTACAGTCAGTTGATCACTCCTTCCGTGATATGCTTTGCTTGGGCTCCAGCTGCTCCAGCTACAACCATTTTTCTTGTTTATTTTCCTTTTCTTCCTTTCTCAAAATTAAGAAACCACTCCTCAATTATCTTTTCTGTCTTCCTCATCTTTATGTGTTTTCTCCCTTCTAATTTTTCCCCTATTTCTTTCTGATATCCATTTAACATTTTTTTGGTTTCTGTTCCTATTTTTCCAATCCTAACTTGAGTCACAATTCTGATATTGAATTTTTCTAAATTATTTTTCCGAGCCAAAGGAATTTGATCTGGAATATAACTTTCACCTAGGACTCTGGGTAAATTCTTTCCCTTCAACTCTCCTCCCCCTCCTTTTCTTTTTTTCTTCATCGTTCAAGCTTTCTACATTAGGACTACGTTATGTATTATTACAAAAGTGAACTTAATTTTAAAATATGAAAAAAATTTCTGTTTCATATCTATTCTCCTAATATCCCTTACCACATCTAGAAAAGTATTCATTTGGCATATGATAAGTACTAAATGAATGTTGAACTAAATTGGACCTCCTGACAACAAAATGGAAGTAGAGCAGAAGGTAAAATCCAAATAAAAGCCACTGGTTTTTTAAAGTGATACCTATAATAGGGGATTGGGACAGATATGGCTTGACCCTCTCACTGGAGCTGCTTCTCACCTCATTTATATATAACTCTGTGTTTCACATTCTAAGGAACTGTCAAACTTTTCCACAGAGACGACACCGTTTTACATTCTCACCAGCAATGTGTTAGGGTTCCAGGTTCTCTGCAGCCTTGTCAACACTTGTTATTCTCTGTTTATCTCATTGTGCTTTTTTGATTTGCATTTTCCTAATGCAACATTTTTTCATGTACTTGAAATGTAGAGTTGAACATTTTTTCATGTACTTATTAGCCATTTGTATATCTTCTTTAGAGGAACGTCCCTTCAAGTTTTTGCCATTTTTGAATTGGTCAGTTGTTTTGTTGTTGTTGAATTATAGTTCTTCATATATTCTAGATGTTATTCCCTTATCAGATACATGATTGCAAATGTTTCTTTTGTTGCCTCTGCTTTTGATGTTATTTCCAAAGAAACATTGCCAAATCCAGTGTTCTGAAAATTTTCCTTTATGTTTTCTTCTAAGAACTTTATAGTTTTAGCTGTAATGTTTACATTGTTGTTCTAATCTGAGTTCATATTTGTATATGATATATGTGACCTCTTTGGGTTACATAAAGAGCTCATCTCTTAGCAAACAAAATGGAGTCGAGACTGAGAGACTGGAATGAATTTGATTGGAAATATTAATTTTCTGTTACTTTTTAGCTATTCTTAGTCTCCTTTTGTCCTTAAAAAATTTTTAAGTCACTTTTCAGCTTAATTTCTTTGTTCTTTCCTGCTCTAAAATGTTTTGTGTCCTTCATTTTTTTTCTTTCTTATTTCCATGTAATCTGATCCCTGCTGTACTTGAGTTGTGTATGCCATTGGATTTAGGAATATTGAAATAGAGTACAAAGTTGTTCTACTCATTTTCTTTGAAATAATTGTCCTGGTAATGATAGAAAGCAAGGTACCCTGGGAAGTTGTCTGCGTTGTTTCTATAGTACAGAAGTCAGAGGCCTATAAAATGACCATTTGACAGTGGTTTCCATTATCTGTAAGTTTGTATTAAAAGAGAGTGGCTTTTGAGTTAACCATAGATTTTGAGTACAAATGAACATAAACATTTCCTTCATGAAAAAAAGATGATAATTCAGTTATGTGTTGTACTCAAATGGGCTTTAATTTTTCTTTGTGTATTCATCTTAGAATGTTTACTAAACTTGGACCTGTTTCATTCAGTAGTTTCGTAGATTGGCAGGTACATTGATATTTTTGTCTAAGTACGCACAAATAACTAATTCCATACATTTATCAAATATTAACAAAGTACACTTTTGGGGAATTTAAAAAACTTAGCATCTGCATTACAATATGCAATTAATGGCACAGTTAACCATTTGCAGTTGTCTTTGTACGCTTTGGTAAAATGCTGTATTAGTGTTCTTATTATTACATATTACCTCTGCCTAAAGACCTATACTTCCGTTTCATTTTATAGCGTTACATTGCTTAGGAAAACCTATTGATATAATTACTATACCATTCCGTTGAGCTGTTTATGTCAACTCTTAAATATGACTATGCTATAATATTTATGGTTCTGTCATTCTGCTGTTATATTCTTAAGTGTGAGGAATACCATCGCTGTCTCTCTGATGTAGATTTAAGTGTTATATGAAGTAGAAATATGAAATGTTTATATCATACTTAGGAATTTCATTTTATTTTATTTTATTTTGAAGCGGAGTTTCGCTCCGTCACCCAGGCTAGAGTGCAGTGGCATGATCTTGGCTCACTGCAACCTCCGCCTTCTGGGTTCAAGCAATTCTCCTGCCTCAGCCTCCCGAGTAGCTGGGACTACAGGCGTGTGCCACCATGCCCGGCTAATTTTTGTATTTTTAGGAGAGATGAGGTTTCACCATGCTGGCCAGGCTGGTCTTGAAATCCTGACGTCATGATCCGCCTGCCTTGGCCTCCCAAAATGTTAGTCTTACAGATGTGAGCCACTGCACCCGGCAGGAATTTTATTTTTGAATAATATACTACTTTTTTGTTTCATTTTATTGTAGATACATGATTAAAAGTATTAATTGTGATCAGTTGTTATTTTCATATATCTTGTTTTAGATAGTCAGATTAAAATACATATAAATTGAGATTATATAAAATTCATAAAGTAGGTAAATATTGATAAAATTGCTTATGAAGTTTATAATTAATAATGATTAACACTGCTTTTTATCTTGACTTGGTGTTTTTTTCTATTATTTTGTCATACTTTTATTTATTTAATTCAGGTGGGGAAATCCCTTTCCATACTAAGACAGTACAAATTTCCACTTTAGATGTGAGGTTCTTAAAAACTAAGTAAGTTAATTATATGACATACATTAACTTTTTTGATTATAGAGAGGCAAGATATAAAATACATATTGTGCAACAATTATTAAATGAATCTATTCATTATAGAAAGCAAAATATAGATGATTTTAACATTTACTTAATGGTTGGTTATTAGATTTTTATCTTATCTATACATATTTCAAAGAGTGAGGTTTCAAGTTTATATTAATTTGATTTTACTTACGAAGTTATTTTTAAAATACCTTTATTCTGCATGCTGTTTATTTTTAAATCTCTTAAGACTGTGCTTTTTAGGTATATATTAACTATATGCTGATAATATTTCTTTTAAAATTGGGTTTAAGAAGAACCAAAAGCTGAATTGATGTGGGCATATTAACCATTTTGGTAGTATATCTGGTCGACTAATGTTCTTTTCCATTTTTATTATTACAAAATGATTTCTTACATAATTTGCCAATGCATCTGTACAAAAGCCATAAAGTTTTCTTTTTAGAAATCCAATTTTTCTGTGGTGAGAGCAAGTATGCTGTGGTCTCTGAATGGTATCTTTTAGCCTTGTATGAATATTTTTAAACATTTGAAAAATCAAATATTTGTGTGGTGGCTTCTTTCAGAAAGTTTCACGTTTGTATTCACAATTTGTCATTACTGTTTAGTATTGTCTTCTTTTGTTGAATTGTAAGCTCCTCGCAGGCAAGGGCTGTGTTTGTTGATTCATTGCTGAGTACCCAGTGCCTAGCAGACTCTGTTATTACATAATAGATACCTTAGAGGTGTTTGTCAAATGAATACGTCCACATGTGTACTTATGGTCTTGGAGTCTCATATAATTTTTCATTCTACGGCCAGGTGTGGTGGCTCACGCCTGTAATCCCAGCACTTCAGGAGGCTGAGGCAGGCAAATCACCTAAGGTCAGGAGTTCAAGACAAGTCTGGCCAACATGGCAAAACCCAGTCTCTACTAAAAATACAAAAATTAGCTGGACGTGGTGGCACACACCTGTAATCCCAGCTACTCAGGGGGCTGAGGCAGGAGAATCACTTGAACCTGAGAGGCGGAGGTTGCAGTGAGCTGAGATCGCACCATTGCACTCCAGCCAGGGCAACAGAGCAAGACTCCGTCTCAAAAAAAAAAAAATTTTTTTTTCATTGTACTTCATTTTATGTAGGTCAGGGAACATACTAGATCTTCAGAAGTTAAATGAGTTTATCATGCATATGTTATTTTATGTTTTGTTAGTTGAATGTTAAGTGATCTCAATAGAAATATTATCAGACAAGTCATATATATACCTTGGAAATATTTTCCTTAGTACTTTAGATAAATATTCAATAAGATACTTGTTTAGATTCCATCTGTAGAATTAATTACATTGACTGTATTGATAACTGAATTGAAAAAGTATAGGCTAATCACTGTCTTAATTTTCTAACTCAATATTTGTTTTTAATATTTGTTTCAATACTTTTTGTTTATTTCAGTATTTCTTTTTAAATGGAAGCATTTAGTAATGCTGTTTCCCTTGTGCCCTGCAAAATTAATTTATTTCCTGTTATTATGAAAAGGCCAATTATGATTTGTAATCATAATTCCTAAAGGTTAAGACCAGTTAAAGCCAGGATAGATAAACTATCCTGGATTGTATATATATGTATATATTGTGTATATATATGTATATATTATATACACATATATATAAAATAACAACCCAGTCTACCTGAATTTTCACATTTTCAGAAAACTGTATTGCTTGAATCTAAAATTGCAAGACAATTTATTTTATTTTATTTTATTTTACATATTTTTTTGAGACAGAGTCTTGCTCTGTTTCCCAGGTTGGAGTGCAGTAGTGCAGTCTTGGCTCACTGCAACCTCTGCCTTCTGGGATCAAGTGATTCTCCTGCCTCAGCCTCCTGAGTAGCTGGGATTATAGACATGCGCCACCGTGCCCAGCTGATTTTTGTATTTTTAGTAGAGATGGGGTTTCGCCATGTTAGCCAGGCTGGTCTGGAAGCATTTTAAAACCAAAAGGTTTGTATTTAACTTACTTACTAAGATTATTGTATTCCGCCAGATGCGGTGGCTCACACCTATAATCCCAGCACTTCGGGAGGCCAAGGTGGGCGAATCACTAGAGCCCAGGAGTTTGAGACCAGCCTGAGAAACATAGTGACACCCTCTCTCTACAAAATATAAAAAAATTATCCAGGTGTGGTGGTGAATGCCTGGAGTCCCAACTGTTCAGGAGTCTGAGGTGGGACAATTGATACTGGGAGGTCAAGGCTGCAGTGAGCCAGGATGGCGCTACCGCACTCCAGTCTGAGCAACAGAGACTCTGTATGAAGAAGAAAAAAAAAAAAAGAAGATTCTCGTATTCCTTAAGAATGTACTTTCGGGGATGAATAGATATCTTACTTGACGTGGTACCCCAAGGAGAAATTGAGAAATATTTTATGGCCTTCTATTTCTTAGCTGCAGTTTCACTCTTTGCCACTTCCTTTCCAGTTATTTTGTTTTACTTTATTTTTATTTATTTTATTTTTTTTGGAGACAGAGTCTCGCTGTGTCACCCAGGCTGGAGCACAGTGGTGCGATCTTGGCTCACTGCCACCTCTGCCTCCTGGGTTCAAGTGATTCTCCTACCCCAGCCTCCCAAGTATCTGGGACTACAGGTGCCCGCCGCCACAGCCAGCTAATTTTTTTTGTATTTTTATTAGAGACGGGGTTTCACTATGTTGGCCAGGCTGGTGTTGAACACCTGATCTTGTGATCCGCCCTCCTCGGCCTCCCAAAGTGCTAGGATTACAGGCATAAGCCACCGGGCCTGGCCTATTTTAATTTTTTATGAAATTCAAGATATGTGAACTTGAGCTAAAATTTCCCATTTTCTATCTGCATTGACTATTTTCTTATCTATTATGTCTAAGGTAAATTTGGTGTTGTCTCTTTTTAATATATACTAAATGTACTGTATTTTTAAAAGTCTAAATTTATAAAGAAGAAGTAGGATTAACTGTAGCTTTTTGTTGTAGTTCTGAAGTAAATTCTTCTTTGAAGCCTGTGCTTCTTTGGTAAGGAATGAGAAATCTTGACCCACTAATATTGCTTTCTTAAATTAATTGGCACCAGTAATTATGCCAGTCTAAGACGTTCTTTCTTATATAATTTTAATGTCTGTAGGAAATATGGGGTTTTCATGTAGAGTTTTTCCCCGCATGAATTTTATTTTTTTGAGATGAGTCTTGCTCTGTCACCCAGGCTAGGGTACCGTGGCATGCGATCTCGGCTCACTGCAACCTCCGCCTCTCGGGTTCAAGCTCTTCTCCTGCCTCAGCATCCCAAGTAGCTAGGACTACAGGCGCCCGCTACCACGCCTGGCTGATTTTTGTATTTTCAGTAGAGACACGGTTTCACCATGTTGGCCAGGCTGGTCTCGAACTCCTGACCTCATGATCTGCCCACCTCTGCCTCGGCCTCCCAAAGTGCTGGGATTACAGGCATGAGCCACTGCGCCCGGCCTAATTTTTATCTTTTTGTTAGAGACGGAGTTTCACCACGTTGGCCAGGCTGGTCTCGAACTCCTGGCCTCGGGTGATCTGCCTGTCTGGGCCTCCCATAGTTCTGGGATTACAGGTGTGAGCCACCGTGCCCGGCCTCCCCACATGAATTTGCTTTTTTTTTTTTTTTTCCCTATTCTTTGAAAATATCCTGTAGAGAAAATAGAAGGAACACTTGGGTAGTATTGTAATGGGTAATTACATATACGGAAGGAACATTTCTTATTTTTAAAAGCAATGATCAGTTATAGTTATTTAATCTTCTGACCATCTTTATTTTTCTTGTAAGATCTATCAGACAACTAAAGTGCTATTTAACGTCTCATTAGGTTTTGAAATACTTGTCTGCCAATATGTTTGTGTCAGTGATCTCAGCTTGTATTTGGTAAGGACATTTGTAATTCGAAAAAGCTTCCCCAACCAAAATTCTCACATGTTATTTTCTCCTTTTCTTCCTCTTCACGCCACTGGTCTCTCACTCTTCACTAAACTTACTCTGAATAGGGCCTGGAATGCCCCCTACCGTTATTTTCGTGTTAGAATCTTTTCCCGGGCAGTCCATTTCCTTCTCTTCTCTAATTCTCCACAGGAGTGCTTTTTGGCAAGCACTGTCTTTCACTTTCATTGTTGGAATTTCTTAACTTGTGAAATAAAGGCCCTGATAAATTTTTAAGATATGCTCTAGTTCTAAAAGTTATTAGTTTTGATAACAGTAACAATATTGTGTAACTGTGTTTTATACAAAGAGCATAATTGGCAAGGTAAAAAAAAATGCAAAAACTTAGTGTCAAAACAAGGGCCTGAATTAAACAAATAAAAGCACTGAGAAAGTAGAATAGAAAGAAGCCAAATAACAGAAGAGTCATAATATTAGCTAATATTTATAGATCTGTTAAGTTAGATCTATAAATATAATGTAATATTATTATACATTATGTTTGCTGTTAGATTACATTATTACTCTATAGTAAGTTTTCAGGGAATTTCTTAAAACCATACAGAGTATTCCATGAGAATTTTTTTTGTTTTGTTTTTTGAGACGGAGTCTTGTTCTGTCACCCAGGCTGGAGTGCAATGGCGCGATCTCGGCTCACTGCAACCTCCGCCTCCCGGGTTGAAGCGATTCTCCAGCCTCAGCCTCCCGAGTAGCTAGGATTACAGGCATGCGCCATCATGCCTGGCTAATTTTTGTGTTTTTGTAGAGACAGGGTTTCACCATATTGGCCAGGCTGGTCTCGAACTCCTGACCTCAGGTGATCTGTCCACCTCAGCCTTCCAAAGTGCTGGGATTACAGGCGTTAGCCACTGCGCCCGGCCCCATGAGAATTTTAAAACAAAAATTTTCCAGAATAGTAAGGCCATACTGTTAATTACAACTATGTATGTAGTTTGTTTCATCTAATTTAAGAATTTATTTTTGTGTGTGTGTCCTGCCTGCTCCAACACACTTTTGACATCTAAACTCAACTACTTAACATTTTTCTGACATCCAGTCCTCTTGTACCATCCTTCTTTTATAATTGAGTAGAAGAGAACATGATTACCATATAGGATTTACAGAGCTTAGGCAGTGGGCCCCAGCCTGTACCATACCAAGCATCCATCATTTTATTATTTATGTGTATGTTCTTGCCACCTTGTTCTTAAGAGAATTTAAACAACATACATTATATCTGAGTAATAAAGGAATCTTCCTTTATCACAGTGGCCTTACCCATGAGGCAGTAACTGTTTTTCCTTGTTTGATGTGTTTGGTGTTGCATGTAAAATATACAAATGTGCAATATCATGCATGTATTCTTAAATTGAAAACTACTATTTTACCCTACTTCAAAATATAATTGATAATAAAACCCAGGTTGAATTGAGTCAGTTTTTTATTGATAGTAAAACATGTCTGGTATAAAACTAGCTACAGAACAGATAGCCTTTGGTTAAGAAAGGTAGAACATGATTATAACTTTGTTTAGCTCACATTAATGTTATGTGCAGCCATCATGAACTGACTTCAGTTTCTCTCATAAAAAATTAGAAAGCTTGTTTTGTTTTCTTTTAAAAACAAAGTTGATATCTTGACTTCTTCTTTCCATAACTCTTCTAATAGAGCAACTTCTAGGAGTTCATACTGAAATCTACAGAGGATGGAGGTGTTTTCTTTTCGTTTCCCACCATGCCCCCGATTTTGGAAGGAAGTAAATTGCTTTCCTAAGCATTATACAATTTTCGATATTAATAGGAAAGGTAAAAGTACTGCTGCAAATATATGGATAGATGCTACAGTGCCAGGTAGAAGTACCAAAAGGAGTGTATTTAGTAGAAGAATACTTACTTTAAAGCTTTTCAAAGTACTTACCATATATTTGTACTTACACCAGTACTTACCATATATTTCTACAAAAAAACCCATATATGGTATGTACCATTATTTTTTATTTTGTTTTTAAATTGTAGTCTTATTTTATACAGAAATAAACTAAGCCTTAGATTGAGAATGAGTTGATCAGGACCACATAACTAGGAAGCAGGGATTATGTTAAGTCTGTCCTAAAGCTCATTCCATTCCCTCTTATTCTTATTACGGCCCTCAGCATCTTCCAGCATATAAACAGAACCCCTTGCATGGGGATGAATCCTCAGCTTTTCTGGCTTTTACTGGCTACAAGCCAGTAGTTTGTACCAGCAGAGTAACTGCCCAGGAGTTTGCTACAGATACTTTCCAGGCCTATGCTAGAGTAAGAATATAATTTATTAGTCAAGTAATGACTCAAGTCATTTACTTCTTGATTTGGGGACTTTGTTACTTCCTTTTAATACCTCTAACAATGAGGACATTTTAATTTAAAAGCTCGTTTTCAGGTGTCCATGTTCTAGAGTTTTGTGTTTTCTATGAGTAATGTATATAACTTTGAACACAAAAAGAGAATGTCAATTAGTTTTTAATGTTTACTTCTTCTAGCTGTTATAATTCTTGAATGAATGAAGAACGAATAAACTGTCATTCTTTTTTTTTTGCTTTAAACAAATAGTTTTATTGCAGTTAATAGTAATTTGCACCCTATGAAATTGTGAAGACCATCAGCATTGAATCAAGAGGCCATCACAGCTGTTGACTCAGCTGTCTGTACATGTAGGGAGCATTTCAGAATACTGAAAAACTTTGCAGAGTAATGTTTTTCTGGTATTTTATGAGCAAGCATTTTTTTTTTCTAGTTGATTTTGCATTATCCATACGTTACAATATGGTGCTTTTCTTTTCTTATTTCTTTTTTTTTTTTTTTTTTGTGAAACAGAGTCTCGCTCTGTCGCCCAGGCTGGAGTGCAGTGGCGCGATCTCAGCTCACTGCAAGCTCCGCTCCTGGGTTCACACGATTCTTCTGCCTCAGCCTCCTGAGTAGCTGGGGCTACAGGCCCCCACCACCACGTCTGGCTAATTTTTTGTATTTTTAGTAGAGATGGGGTTTCACCGTGTTAGCGTTGATGGTCTTGATCTCCTGACTTCGTGATCTGCCCGCCTTGGTCTCCCAAAAGTGCTAGGATTACTGGTGTGAGCCACTGTGCCTGGCTGTAATACGGTGCTTTTCTATTACACAATGCCATTTAAAACTGAAGCTATTACCTTAGCTCTCTGATGTGTCTAGAGAAAAATTGCCTACCTGCTGCTTAAGAATGAAACAAAGTAAAACAAAATGTAGAAAATACTGTGATTTATCTTAATACTTACTGTACAGATTCAGTTTCTCTTTGTTGTAGCCGAGTAAGCAGTGCTAGTTGAGGAATCATGAGATCATGCTCTCTAGTCTTGGCTCGGCCAGTAGCTAACTTTAAGTCCATGGGCAAGTTATTACCTCCCTCTCTTTGTGCCTTGGTAGCTTGCTCTTCAAACCAGGAAGCTGAGATGATTTCCAAGGTCCTTTCCCTTCTAAAATGTCAAGATTCTATATGAGTTTCTCTTTAATATGGCATAGGTTATTTCCGTGGTATATATTGTACATATTTATATTAATTTCCTTTAATTTTAGATACGATGAATGGATTAAAGCAGATAAAATAGTAAGACCTGCTGATAAAAATGTGCCAAAGATAAAACATCGGAAGAAAATAAAGGTAAGTGCTTGTTTTTACTACACACTATTAGCTCTTAAAAAGAAGTTTTCCTCCAAATGATGCAATTAAATATGTGTTAGTGTTACACTTTATTGAAATAGCACATTTTTCAAATGCTAGATTTGTATATAATTAATTTTGTCAGGTTAGGGAAAGCATTTTAGAAACAGTACTGGATGATCTTTGAGACTTTTTCAGTCCCAACATTATATAAAGCCATTCAACCAGATTTTATTTATCTATTTCTGCCATTTCCTTCCCCTCTAGTTCCCAACCAGGAGCCATAAGGCAGTGTGACTTGGAGAGACATAGGTTATTATTGTAGCTGTAAACCATTCCAAGGAAGAAAAGGCTATCTGGCAACTCCTTTTTCTCTTCTTCTTTATCTGATTATAGTCAGTGGCTTAGAATATATTCACAAGATTTTTTTTTTTTTTTGGAGACAGAGTCTCGCTCTGTTGCCCAGGCTGGAGTACAGTGGTGCAACCTCGGCTCACTGCAACCTCCACCTCCCAGTTCAAGCGATTCTCATGCCTCAGCCTCCCGAGTAGCTGGGATTACAGGCACACACCACCACACCTGGCTAATTTTTGTATTTTTAGTAGAGATGGGGTTTCACCATGTTGGCCAGGCTGGTCTCGAACTTCTGACCTCAGGTGATCCGCCCGCCTTGGCCTCCCAAAATGCCGGGATTATAGGTGTGAGCCACCACGCCCAGCCCCACAGGATCCTATTAACCACGAAAATGCCATGAGGATTTACTTAGGAGCTCATATGGAAAATTAATGTTACTTTTATGTATGATAGAATTATTCATTCTAAGACTAAATTTTCCTAAATGTTTGATTAGCATCTTCTATGCATCTGGAATGATACTAGATATGTACCATCCTTAGGAGAATTACTCTCACTCAAAATTTATAGTGCTTACTGCTAACTCATGCTTCAGAGAGCTTATTTTTCCTATAAATCAACAAAATTTTTAAGAGTAGTTTCCAGGAAATATATCGGCCTTTGCTTATCTATTTGTAAACAAATAATTTGAGAAAATTTCTCATCTTTTCTCAAAACATTAATATATCACTGAGGTAGGAAGGTTGCCCCTGACTTGACTTTACAAAAGTACCTGGAATTTTGTCATTCCCAACCCACATATAGTGAGATTTTAAAATGACCACGTTGCAATCGTTTCTTTTTTTTCTTGTTTTTTTGAGACGGAGTTTCACTCTTGTTGCCCAGGCTGGAGTGCAATGGCGCGATCTTGGC
This sequence comes from Homo sapiens, assembly GCF_000001405.40. Lineage (NCBI taxonomy): Eukaryota > Metazoa > Chordata > Mammalia > Primates > Hominidae > Homo > Homo sapiens. Next base: position 235,194,764 of record NC_000001.11, on the reverse strand, counting down.
TCACCGCAACCTCCATCTCCCAGGTTCAAGCGATTCTCCTGCCTCAGCCTCCCGAGTAGCTGGGATTACAGGCATGCGCCACCACCCCGGCTACTTTTGTATTTTTAGTAGAGACGGGGTTTCTCCATGTTGGTCAGGCTGGTCTTGACCTCCTGACCTCAGGTGATCCACCTGCCGCGGCCTCCCAAAGTGCTGGGATTACAGGTGTGAGCCACCTCACCTGGCCTCTTTTTTTAGTTAGTATTTAATTTAAACGTATTGTGATTTTAATTCTGAAGAGCAAGTTGTAGGTTTGCTAGTCCTAATCACCTATCTGATTGCTAATTTGATTCCCGTTATTAAAGTATAAATACAAAACCTTTTGATCATCCTGTGTAGTATTTTGTTAAGTAGCTTTAAAAATCTGGCTGTTTTGAGGGGCTTCTTATGTTCTTTCTTTTTATGTTAAATATTTAACAACATATTCTGTAATAGTGAGTTAAAAGTGGACATTAACATTGTTTCTGATAAATGCCTTATGATAAATTACGACATACTTTTTTTCTTAACCTAGAATAAATTAGACAAAGAAAAAGACAAAGATGAAAAATACTCTCCAAAAAACTGTAAACTTCGGCGCTTGTCCAAACCACCATTTCAGACAAATCCATCTCCTGAAATGGTATCCAAACTGGATCTCACTGATGCCAAAAACTCTGATACTGCTCATATTAAGTCCATAGAAATTACTTCGATCCTTAATGGACTTCAAGGTAAACATAACAATCGTTCTGTTGTGCAAGTATTTGATTTTAATTTATGAGTCAAGTTCTATAAAGGTAATTCAGTGACATTACCAACTACTGTTTTTTCTACCAGAGTTTTGTTTGCTCTCTTATTACAGGTTGAATATCTCTTAACTGAAATTCTTGGAACCAGAAATGTTTTGGATTTCAGATTTTTTTTTGATTTTGGAATATTTGCATTCCACAAGCCAAATCCGAAAATTCTAAATCTGAAATGCTCCAGTGAGCGTTACCTTTCAGAATCACGTCAGCACTCAAAAAGTGTATGATTTTGGAGTCTTCAGATTTTGGATTTGGGATGTTCAACCTGTACTTGAAATAAAATCAGCCATTGATTGAGGCCTCAAATTTTTTATTACTAGTAGATCCAAGGGCACCATAAAATTTTGGTTAACATTTAATATTCAACTTTTAGCATTGTTACTTTAGTTTTTTAATCTTTTCTGTGCCATCCTTTCTGTTGCAATGTAATGCATAGTTTGTGTTATACAACATCAGACCATAAAAGTATACTGACAAGTTGTTGTAAAGAACACCAAACTTTGTTTGTCCTGATTATGACTATTATGATCTCTGTTTCTTTGAGACAGGGTCTCACTCTGTAGCCTAGGTTGGAGTACAGTGGTGCAATCTCAGCTCACTTCAGCCTCAACCTCCCAGACTCTAAAGATCCTCACACCTCAGCCTCCCAAGGAGCTGGAGCTGCAGGCGCATGCCACCATGCCCGGCTAATATTTATATTGTTTCTAGAGACGGGGTTTTGCCCTGTTGACCAGGCTCGTCTCGAGCTCCTAGGCTCAAGCAATTGGCCTGTCTTAGCCTCCCGAGTGCTAGGATTACAGGCAGGAGCCACTGCACCTGGACTGACTGCTTTTTTTTTTTTTTTGAGACGGAGTCTCGCTCTGTCACCCAGGCTGGAGTGCAGTGGCGCAATCTCAGCTCACTTGCAAGCTCCACCTCCCGGGTTCACACTGTTCTCCTGTCTCAGCTTCCTGAGTAGCTGGGACTACAGGCGCCCGCCACTGCGCCTGGCTAATTTTCTGTATTTTTAGTACAGATGGGGTTTCACCATGGTCTGGATCTCCTGACCTTATGATCCGCCCACCTTGGCCTCCCAAAGTGCTGGGATTACAGGCGTGAGCCACCGCGCCTGGCCTGACATGACCTCTTTTATGATGGGATTATTGCTTAGTATTTAAGGCAAAATGAAGTATAGGTAATAAAAGCAATGAGGATTGGAGCAGAGATTTATTAAATCTGACTGGCAGGGAAGGGGACATATCTATGAGATAAAAGAATGGATCTCCATAAAAATATCTTATCATTTCTCATAACTTAAAAGAGGTTTCATTTTTACTTATTTTGAATGTTAATAGAAGCTAGTTTTTGTTTCTTATTGTAGATGTGTGTTTATATTAACTCATTATTTTATAAACCAAATGCTGTACTATATTTTTATTTACTCACCACTGTACTAATTAGGGCAATATTTTTAAATTGATTTTTAAAAAATTTTCCCATGTATCCTACATGCAAATAGTGCATGGAAAATACATGTATAGTTTAAAGAACAGTAATAATATGGATACTAGTATGTCTCCACAGTAGCAATCAAATACTATTTACTTAAAACATGTAGTATGTCTCCTCCCAGAAGTAATTATAGTCTGGACTTTTGTGTAATCCTTGCTTTACTTTTCTTCAGAATTGAATTATCTATATTTATATTCCTAAGTAATTTTTATTTTACTTCGTAGTATGTCTCCTCCCAGAAGTAATTATAGTCTGGACTTTTGTGTAATCCTTGCTTTACTTTTCTTCAGAATTGAATTATCTATATTTATATTCCTAAGTAATTTTTATTTTACTTCATTTTTTTAGGGTGTTTTTTTGTTTTGTTTTTGTTTTTGAGGCAGAGTCTCGCTCTGTCACCCAGGCTGGAGTGCAGTGGTGCTATCACGACTCAAGTGACCTCCTGGGCTCAAGCGACCTTTCCATCTCAGCCTCCTAAGTAGCTGGAACTACAGGTGTGTGCCACCATGCCAGGCTATTTTTTGTAGTTTTTGTAGAGATGGGGTTTCACCCTGTTGCCCAGGCTTGTCTCAAACTCCTGGACTCAAGCAATCCAATCCATCTGCCTCAGCCTTCCAAAGTGTTAGGATTATAGGCATGAGCCACTGCACCCAGCCTGTTTTTTAGTTTTTTAAAAATTGAGTAACAAGCATAAGCCTAGTTTTATAAGAAGGCTCAGATGAAGGCTTTCTGAGAATGTTACCTGAATAGAGATTCTAAGTCATACTCTGATTTCAGATTTAGCTTCTCTGAGAGTTTACAAAAGCCCCTCTAGAGAATTCAGTTGGACAGGTCATAAGCCAGTTCTGATAAACCTAGGGGTCCACTACAGTTAGAATATCTGACACATTTGGCTGGGCATAGTAGCTCACTCCTGTAATCCCAGCACTTTTGGAGGCCAAGGCGGGCAGATTACCTGAGGTCAGGAGTTTGAGACCAGCCTGGCCAACATGGTGAAACCCTGTCTCTACTAAAAAAAAAAATACAAAAACTTTGCCGGGTGTGGTGGTGGGTGCCTGTAATCCCAGCTACTTGGGAGGCTGAGGCAGGAGAATCGCTTGAACCCAGGAGGCAGAGGTTGCAGTGAGTCAAGATCACACCATTGCACTCTAGCCTGGGTAGCAACAGCGAAACTCCATCTTAAAAAAAATAAAATAAAAAGAATATGTGACACATTCGCAGTGGATGTTATGTGGGAGTGTGCTCAGTCGTAGTAGCAGACTACTCTATATATATTCTCATTCTAGGCTTATGGTGATTTACCCCTATTTTTCACAAGTAGGTCAGAATGTTTCTGCTGGATAAAATGATGTCATTAGCTGATCTAGGTAGTGGCACATAAGACATGGAAGGGAGAGCTGGAATTTCATTGACACATAGTTGAAACAAGATAAATACAGATTTTAAAATCCAGTCTGGGTCACTCAGGCATTCAAAGACTACAGAGAGGCGGTAGCAGGTAGCTTAATGATAATAGCCTGCAGTATGACTTTCTTTGGAAATAACACTGCTGTAGTCTGGACTGGTTTCCCTCTATATCTGTTGCACAGCTATTTTCCTAGGGAGATCCCATTCTAGGGATCTCCTTTAATGTAGTTCTTGGATTTCTTTGTTTTTGGCATCTCAGGTTCCTCCCCACCCCCATACTTTCATTTTGGTGGAGCACATTCTCTAGTAGCTTCTAAAGAACAAGTGCATGAGATGGAATTTTTAGAGATTGGCTGCATTTAAATATCTGTATTTATTTTTGCAAATATCTTTATTCTATTCATAGTTTGGCTGGATTGGAAGTTTTTCCTTCAGTATTTTATTGGCAGTGTTGAATTGTTTTTTTGCTTCCAGTATTGCTTTTGTGAAGTCCAGAGCTCTTCCAATTCCTGATTCTTTGTATGTGACTTGTTTTATTCTTTATTTTTTGCTTTTCTGTCTCTGGAATCTTTTTTTTTTCTTTTCTTTTTTTGAGATGGAATCTCACTCTGTTGGCCAAGCTGGAGTGCAGTGGCACAATTTTGGCTTACTGCAGCCTCTGCCTCCTGGGTTCAAGTGTTTCTCCTGCCTCAGCCTCCCGAGTAGGTGGGATTGCAGGGGCCTGCCACCACGCCTGGCTAGTTTTTCTATTTTTAGTAGAGATGGGGTTTTGCCATTTTGGCCAGGCTGGTCTCGAACTGCTGACCTCAAGTGATCCACTCACCTCAGCCTCCCAAAGTGCTGGGATTACTGGCATGAGCCACCATGCCCTGCTAGGAATCTTGAATCTTTGTTTTTCGTATCCAGAAATTTAACTCTGAAATATATCTACACAAGGCCAAAGGAAGAGAACAGATATATCCACAGTACACTTGGCTGTTCTCTTTCTTTAGCCTTGTGTAGATATATTTTCATCCCCTGTGATGCCTACTTGCTAGACTCTTTCATTCTAGCAACTTCTGTCTTTCTGTTCTAGGCAGTTTTTTTGAATGATTTTCTTGATGATTTCCTCTCCTGCATTTTACTGTTCTCTCCTTTTTAATTTTTGTTCATTGTTACTATTTTTGAGATGAGGTGTTACTATATTGCCCAGGCTGGTCTCAAACTTCTGAGCTCAAGCGATTTTCCTGTCTCAGCCTCCCAAAGTGCTAGGATTACAGGCATGAGCTACTGTCCCAGCCCTGCCAAATTTTTTTTTTTCTTTAATTGAGACTGTGTTTCACTATGTTCAGCCCAGGCTGTTCTCACACTTCTGGGCTCAAGCAGTCCTCCTGCCTCAGCCTCCCAAGTAGTTGGGTAGCTGGGGTATAGGTGCATGACACTGCACTTGGCTGTTATCTTTCTTTGGCCAGCCATTATTTGATATTATACCTTCTGTAATATACTCTAATATGCTCACCTTTTAATTTCTTGCTTTTTATTAATTTTTTTGTCTTTTTATTTCTTTGAAATTTTATCTGCTTTGTCTTTTAATCCTTTTGTTGACTTTTTGCTGTAATGTTTAAGTTTTCAATGATTTTTTTTTTTTTTTTTTTTTTTTTGAGACTGAGTCTCACTCTGTTGCCTAGGCTGGAGTGCAGTGGCATGATCTCGGCTCACTGCAATCTCTGCCCTCCAAGTTCAAGCGATTCTCCTGCCTCAGCCTCCCGAGTAGCTGGTATTACAGGCGCCTGCCACCGCACCCAGCTAATTTTTTGTATTTTTAGTAGAGATGGGGTTTCACCATCTTGGCCAGGCTGGTCTTGAACTCCTGACCTTGTGATCCACCTGCCTCAGCCTCCCACAGTGCTGGGATTATAGGCGTGAGCCACTGCGCCCAGCCTTTCAATGAATATTTTTAAATTAAACTAGTTTAATTTTTCAAGAGCTCTGTTTTCTGTGTGTTTTGTACCACTCTGTTCTTATAGATGGATGCAATACCTTACCTTTCGGATTTTGATCTTTCAAAGGATTTTATAATTTTTGGTTTTTTCAGTTACCTCTAATTTGCTTTTTTCTGTGTTGTTGTTTTGAGCTCTTCCCTATTAAGAATTTTTTTTCCTGGCTGTCTTATGATTATGAAGGAAAGACTAAACTGATTTGGAAATTGCAAGCATATGGTTGGCACTTGTTGACCTTGAGTTTCACTATCGGGTGATCTGGTTGGCCATGTCCTAGGGAATTCATAATATGAAGTCTTTAGGTCTTTTTCTCTTAGACTAGTTGGCTTCCAGAGAAAAGAGTTCCAATCTCTTGACTGGAGGGTGGTAAGAGAATGGTTTCCAGTGTTCTAGGATCTAGTTGAAGAACAGAGAGTGGGGTGGAGGATTCTTAGTGGTTAGATATGTTCATGAATCCCCCTAATTTCAGCATCGCATCTGTACCTGTGCCTTCAACAGTTGTTAGCATCTCCCAGGCTAGGAGCCCTCTCCTACTGTCTTCAGAGAATAAAGCTCTAGAAGGGCAGTCACCTTCCAACCTGAAGTGAGGTGGGGATCTAGGCATCTAAGTAATTTTTAGTCTTCACCCAGTGCTCCTTGTATGAGGCTCCCCACTGCCCTTTTTAATTTTCATAGGCACTAGGGCAGTCAGTAATTATTGAGGTTTCTATGGTAAACTGGGTTGGTTTTTGGCTTTCCTCACTGCTGGTATGAGGTTTAGCCTTCTTTGGTGCCCGTCATTCATTTATCTGCTTTCTGACTTGCAAATTGTGTTGCTTTTCTTTCGTATTTTCCCCCATTTTTATAGGTTTATATTATTTCAGAAATTGCATTTATATACCATATATATGACATATGAGTATATATACACACACACATACATATAACACATATACAATGACCCCAAACCCCCCCACACACATATTTATCCTATATGTGTAATAGACACTCACATGTGTGCAGTCTTTTTACAGATGGGATCATTAACATATTACAAACTCTTTTTTTCCCCTACTTAGTGGTATAACTTATAAATCTTTCCAAATCGGCACATCCACATCTACTGAATAGATATATCATAATTTATTTAATTAGTTGCTAAAAAAAGACATTTTGATCCTTTCCCATATTTTTCCTGTTAGTTCAACAATGAGTATCATATTTGCATACTTTTAACATTTTAAGTATTCTCTTCATATTTTCTTTTTTCAGTGAATTTTATTTTTTATCTTTGGCCACAGATCAAATTGAAGACATTTCAAATATTTCCAGTTAATTAATGATCATCATATGAATGCATATGTGTATGTATATGTATACATAAAAATTTGATGCCCCTTGTGAGTAGAGAACACAGACAGCTAAGATTCTATCCTCTTGTCCTGAGATGGGTTGGGAATAAAACTAGAGGTACAGTGGTAGTTGGAGTTCTGTGGAGAAATTGAATGTCTCTGGAGAATAATCTTCTACATTCTGGCAGTGGAAATCCCCTAGAGTAAACTAGATCCGGGATGAATCACGTAAAGCCTATCAGTTAATAAATCCTACTAACAGTAGTGTCAATCAAGTTTTAATAGGGCATTCTTAATCATCTCTTGTTAATCTCAGAGAACCTACAGTATCTATAAAACAAGAATAAGCTGGGCACGGTGGCTCACACCTGTAATTCCAGCATTTTGGGAGGCCAAGGTAGGCGGATCACCTGAGGTCGGGAGTTCAAGACCAGCCTGACCAACAGGGAGAAACCTCGTCTCTACTGAAAATAGAAAACAGTTAGCCGGGTGTGGTGGCACATGCCTGTAGTTCCAGCTGCTTGGGAGGCTGAGGCAGGAGAATCACTTGAACCCACGAGGCGGAGGTTGCGGTGAGCTGAGATCACGCCATTGCGCTCCAGCCTGGGTAACAGGAGTGAAACTCCGTCTACAAAAAAAAAAAAAAAAAAAAGAATAAGATGCAGTGAAAAAGAAAAGAATAAGATGCAGTGAAAAAGAAAAGAACAAGAAAGACTTGGAGATAAAAATCTAAAGGCCAGGCACAGTGGCTCATGCCTGTAATCCCAGCACTTTGGGAGGCCAAGGTGGGCAGATCACTTGAGGTCAGGAGTTCGAGACCAGCCTAACCAACATGGTAAAACCGTGTCTCTAATAAAAATATTAAAATTAGCCGAATGTGGTGGTTGGTGCCTATAATCCCAGCTGCTCAGGAGGCAGAAGCATGAGAATTGCTTGAACCTGCACCACTGCACTCCAGTCTGGGCAACAGAGAGAGACCCTGTCTCAAAAAAAACAAAAACAAAAAATCTAAATTAAAATTCAGTAGAGCTGGGCACAGTGGCTCACACCTGTAATCCCAGCACTTTGGGAGGCCGAGGCAGGTGGATCATCTGAGGTCAGGAGTTTGAGACCAGCCTGACCAATAGGGTGAAACCCCATCTCTGCTAAAAATACAAAAATTAGCTTGGCGTGTGCCTGTAGTCCCAGCTATTGGGGAGGCCGAGACAGGAGAATTGCCTGAACCCGGGAGGTGGAGGTTGTAGTGAACTGAGATCTTGCCAGCGCACTCCAGCCTGGGCAACAGAGCGAGACTCTGTCTCTTAAAAAAAAAAAAAAATAAGCAAATTCAGTAGAGCATTAAGAATTTTAAATGGAGGAAATCTTCAGAAAGTTTAAAAGAGCAGTGATGGAAATTTTAGAGAAAAGATAGGTTACATAATGTATTAATCTAGGAAGGGGGAACTATGAAAACAGAGGAGAGAGGCCAGGCGCGGTGGCTCACGCCTATAATCCCTGCACTTTGGGAGGCTGAGGTGGGCGGATCACGAGGTCAGGAAATCAAGACCATCCTGGCTAACACGGTGAAACCCTGTCTCTACTAAAGTACAAAAATTAGCTGGGTGTGGTGGCATGCACCTGTAGTCCCAGCTACTCAGGAGGCTGAGGCAGGGGAATCACTTGAACCTGGGAGGTGGAGGTTGCAGTGAACTGAGATTGCACCACTGCACTCCAACCTGATGACAGAGCAAGACTCAGTCTCAAAAAAAAAAAAAGCAAATAACTAAAGAAAAATTCCAGAACTGACAGACACAAATCTTTACATTGAAATTGCTCACTAGGTACCGAATAAATTAATAGAGTCATACCGTAGTACATCATTATGAAATTATAAAATATCAAGAATGAAAAAATCACCACAAAGGAATGAGAAACCAAAGGAAGGTTATGGCTTATAACCCCTTAAGCAAAGAAGCAATACATTCGGAAGGATTCAGAACTCTGAAGGAAACAATTTTTAACCTAGAATTCTGTACCTCGTGAAACTCTCAATCAATGAAGTTTGAGGGTAAGGATGTATTCAGATAAGTAAGGACGATGAATATTTATATCCCATGTACCTTTTTAAGGAAACTACTCGATGAGCTCTAGTACAGATGAGATAACCAAGGAAGAAGAAGATGTGAGATTCAGTTAACAGTGGACCTAGCTCAAAAGAAAGCAGTGAGGAGGATTCCCCGGATGACAGCTGTTAGAGCAGACCCAGAGAGATACCACCCAGATGCTACTGCAGAAAATAGCTCTCTAGGGTGCAGAGATAGGATGAATAAGGGGAAATTGGATACAACGCTTAATTTAATGAAATAAAATAATGTAAAAGAGATACAAAGGAAGATGTAACATGCAGAAAAGTAGTTGGAAACTCTTGGAAAAATAAAATGCTGTATAAGAAAGGAAGTTTATCAAATGTACTACTTATTTCTGCAGGGAACCACATTTACATATGTTATAAATACTATATTGTAAAAATGAAAGATAACTATATATAGAAAGGATGGTAGAGGGGAGATATGGGTGTTGATAAGTAAGAATCCCCATTGCTCATAGAGGATAAACTTTATAAATAAGTCAGCAGGCCAGGGACGTTGGCTCATGCCTATAATCCCAGTGCTTTGGGAGGCTGAGATGAGCAGATCACTTGGGGTCAAGAGTTCGAGATCAGCCTGTCTAAAATGATGAAACTTCATCTCTACTAAAAATACAAAAATTAGCTGGGCATGGTGGCATGTGCCTGTAGTCCCAGCTGCTTGGGAGGCCGAGGCAGGAGAATTGCTTGAATCCAGGAAGAGGAGGTTGCAGTGAACTGAGATCACACCACTGTACTCCAGCCTGGGTGACAGAGTGAGATTCCGTCACACACACAAAAAAATAAATAAAACAAATAGTATATTATGAATAGTAAGAGATGACTATAACTATCAGATGTTAACACTTTGGAGGTGGAAAAACAGATTTTTATCCTCTTTTTGGTTTTTCATTATGAGTCTAGATTTGTTTTTAATGATGTATATGTATTGTTTTGATAATTTAAAAAATGTGGCCATGCAGACACACATTGTAAAGGTGAAATGGTTTCACAATCTTAGTTATGTCAGTTATGTTTTACATTTAATGAATTTAGCTAAAGAACATGCATGGATTTCTCAGTAGAGAGCTATAGTTAAGGTTGTAAGTTCTGGAGTTAAATGACTTAGATTTAACTACCTTGGGGGGTAGATTAACCTCTAAACCCCAGTCCCTTTTTTTTTGCTTTGTTTTGTTGTGTTGCTTTTTGTTTGTTTGTTTTTCTTATTTATTTAAGACCCTAGTCTCTTGAACTATAAAGTGGGGCTGATAACATGTATCTCGTAGCATTGTTCTGAGGATTGAATGAGATGGTCTGTTCAAAGTGTATCAAAAGTAACCAGCATGTAGTAAGTTCTCAGGAAATGTTATCTTAAAATAACAATAAAATGATTTACCAGAATGAACACACTGAAGCAGTAAGTTCCATAATTAATTTTACATAAGTTATCAGTAACTAAAATTAATTATATCTATTCTTTAAAACATCATGGAAATCATTGATTACAAAATTATTGGATATTCATTATTACATTGAAAAATGAAGCTGGCCAGGTGTGGTGGCTCATGCCTTTAATCTCAGCACTTTGGAAGGCTGAGGTAGGCAGGTTGCTAGAGCTCAGGAGTTCAAGACCAGCCTTGGCAACATGACGAGACCCTGTCTCTACAAAAAATACAAAAATTCACTGGATGTGGCACACCTGTAGTCCCAGCTACTTGGGTGGCTGAGGTGGGAGGATCATTTGAGCCCAGGAGGTTGAGGCTGCAGTGAGCCATGATAGTGCCTGGGGAACAGAGTAAGACCCTGTCTCAGAAAAAAATAGAGAGAGAGAGAGAAATAAAGAAAGAGAAAGGAAAGAGAAAGGAAGGGAGGCAGGGAGGGAAAGAAAATAAAACAAAACAAAACAAAGGAAAGAAAAATGAGAGGCCAGGTGCAGTAGCTTGCTCCTGTGATCCCAGCTACTCAGGAATCTGAGGTGGGAGGATCTCTTGAGCCTAGGAGTTTGAGGCTGAAGTGCACTGTGATTGTGCCACTGCACTCCAGCTTGGATGAGAGAGTGAGACCGTCTCTGATGAAAAGAAAAATGAAGGCTATAGTTTCATAAGAGTATAAACTTGGGGCCAGGCGTGGTGGCTCACGCCTGTAATCCCAGCACTTTGGGAGGCCGAGGAGGGCGGGTCACGAGGTCAGGAGATCAAGACCATCCTGGCTAACACAGTGAAACCCCGTGTCTACTAAAAATACAAAAAATTAGCCGGGCGTGGTGGTGGGCGCCTGTAGTCCCAGCTGCTCAGGAGGCTGAGGCAGGAGAATGGCGTGAACCCAGGAGGCAGAGCTTGCTGTGAGCCGACATCACGCCACTTACACTTTTAGCTTGGATGACAAAGTGAGACTCAAAAAAAAAAAAAGAAGAATATTAACTTGGAGGTAGCACAATCTGGGATTATATCCTGACTCCACTATTTTCTCAGATATATTATGATAAAAATATTATACTTATATAAACTTGGAGAAGCTTTTTTCTTTTTTATTTCAGCTTTATTAAGGTACAGTTTACATAAAAGTGATGACTTTTATGTTTAAAATGTGATGGGTTTTGACAAAAGTATACAGTGTTACAACCATCACCGTGATCGTAATAGAACATTTCCATCATTGGAAGAGCCTCTTAGCCTCTTTGAAACCCAGTTTCTTTGCATGTTACATAGAGATAAAAGCCAGCAACCTCGGGTGGCTGTATACACAGGACCTAATATATACAGTCCCTGGCACATAGAAGACATTGCTAGTGTTCTTATCATACTCATCATTTTTTTTTCTGTTATTTTCTAGCTTCTGAAAGTTCTGCTGAAGACAGTGAGCAGGAAGATGAGAGAGGTGCTCAAGACATGGATAATAATGGCAAAGAGGAATCTAAGATTGATCATTTGACCAACAACAGAAATGATCTTATTTCAAAGGAGGAACAGAACAGTTCATCTTTGCTAGAAGAAAACAAAGTTCATGCAGATTTGGTAATATCCAAACCAGTGTCAAAATCTCCAGAAAGATTAAGGAAAGATATAGAAGTATTATCCGAAGATACTGATTATGAAGAAGATGAAGTCACAAAAAAGAGAAAGGATGTCAAGAAGGACACAACAGATAAATCTTCAAAACCACAAATAAAACGTGGTAAAAGAAGGTATTGCAATACAGAAGAGTGTCTAAAAACTGGATCACCTGGCAAAAAGGAAGAGAAGGCCAAGAACAAAGAATCACTTTGCATGGAAAACAGTAGCAACAGCTCTTCAGATGAAGATGAAGAAGAAACAAAAGCAAAGATGACACCAACTAAGAAATACAATGGTTTGGAGGAAAAAAGAAAATCTCTACGGACAACTGGTTTCTATTCAGGATTTTCAGAAGTGGCAGAAAAAAGGATTAAACTTTTAAATAACTCTGATGAAAGACTTCAAAACAGCAGGGCCAAAGATCGAAAAGATGTCTGGTCAAGTATTCAGGGACAGTGGCCTAAAAAAACGCTGAAAGAGCTTTTTTCAGACTCTGATACTGAGGCTGCAGCTTCCCCACCGCATCCTGCCCCAGAGGAGGGGGTGGCAGAGGAGTCACTGCAGACTGTGGCTGAAGAGGAGAGTTGTTCACCCAGTGTAGAACTAGAAAAACCACCTCCAGTCAATGTCGATAGTAAACCCATTGAAGAAAAAACAGTAGAGGTCAATGACAGAAAAGCAGAATTTCCAAGTAGTGGCAGTAATTCAGTGCTAAATACCCCTCCTACTACACCTGAATCGCCTTCATCAGTCACTGTAACAGAAGGCAGCCGGCAGCAGTCTTCTGTAACAGTATCAGAACCACTGGCTCCAAACCAAGAAGAGGTTCGAAGTATCAAGAGTGAAACTGATAGCACAATTGAGGTGGATAGTGTTGCTGGGGAGCTCCAAGACCTCCAGTCTGAAGGGAATAGCTCGCCAGCAGGTTTTGATGCCAGTGTGAGCTCAAGCAGTAGTAATCAGCCAGAACCAGAACATCCTGAAAAAGGTGAGAAGGAAAATGTGTATGTTGACTTATTTTAGGGTTTCCCCTCTTAAAGTTTCAATGATTTCACAGTATCTCTTGTTATAACCTGAGGCGATTAAGTGTCATATTTGTGTGAACATGGTAAAAATGGAAATTTTAAAGGTAATTTGAAAATGAATAGTGGAATGCATTTAAAAGCTTGAGAAGGCTTTAATGTGCTTTGCTTGAGCCATCCATGGCATTTTATTGTGGACCAGAACACATGCTAGAAATTGCACCCAGGCCCAAATCCAAACCTGTTTGAGAATTCATTATATGCAGTGGTTGACTATATGGCATGAGCAGCTTAAATCTATTTCTGTAACATTGTTTTTGCAATTGTAATGTGCAGTTTCTCACGAACATTTTGATTTATTGACAGACCCCTCCACCCTTAACCAAATACTGTATGTAGGGGTTTGGAGCAACCAACTGTCCAGGCACTGCTTTCCTCAGACAACCGTGTCAAACTGATTTTCAAGCCTGACTAACTTGTGTGAGTTTGTAAAGGAATTTGATGCTTTCTTAGATGCATAGCTTCCAAATTGAAGGACCAATGTGTACGTTAATAACCTACAGTAATACTTTTTTGATTTTCCGTGAAATTGTTAAAAGTGGAAATTCAAATCGGTACCTTCCCAAAGTATTAGTGCCTTTCGATGGTGCCATAGCCATACTTCTGTCATCATTTTTCTTATAAACCACTTCATTCAGGTATCTTTAAATCAGTATACTCTAGGCTGACACCTGGCTTTGGAACACACTTTTCCATCGTAAAGACAGAGCACTGGAGTATGTTTTTTATATACCGTAAAAGATTTTAGAATGCTAGCTTTAGGTTTTCAGCAAAGCTTAAAGAGATATGGTCTAGATCAAATTAGTTAATTCTATGTTTTCTCAGGAATCTTGACTTAAAACATTTCTGTTTTAAAATAAATTAAAAAAATACTTGCAATTAAATTGAAATGTTCTTTGCTTTTTTTCACATTTACAAGTATAACTACTATGATTTTATCTGTGCCATACTATCTCATGCAACTGAACTATCCAGGCATGACTAATCTTCAAAATGAAAGAATCCTTTATTTCAGAATATTAGGCTTTCAACAGTAAGATTTTACTGGCCAGGTGTGGTCACTCACACCTGTAATCCCAGCAATTTGGGAGGTCTGGGAGGTCAAGGCGGTGGATCGCTTGAGTCCAGGAGTTCAAGACCAGCCTGGACAACATGGCAAAACCCCATCTCTACCAAAAATACAAACGTCAGCCAGCTGTGGTGGCGCATGCCTGTAGTCCCAGCTACCTTGGGGGCTGATGAGGGAGAATCACTTGATCCCGGAAAGGCTGCAGTGAGCCAAGATCACGCCACTGCACTCCAGCCTGGGTGATAAAACAAGACCCTGTCTCAAAAAAAAAAAAAAAAAAAAAAGAAAAAACAAGAAAAGAAAGAAAAAAACAGGTTTTATTGTTATAGGTTTTCTTGGGGGTTTTTTTTTTGAGATGGAGTCTCGCTCTGTTGCCCAGGCTGGAGTGCAGTGGTGTGATCTGGGCTCACTGCAACCTCCGTCTCCTGGGTTCAAGTGATTCCCCTGCCTCAGCCTGCTGAGTAGCTGGGACTACAGGCGTGTGCCACCATGCCCAGCTAATTTTTTGTATTTTTAGTAGAGATGGCATTTCGCCATGTTAGCCAGGATGGTCTCTATCTCTTGACCTCATGATCTGCCTGCCTTGGCCTCCCAAAGTGCTAGGATTACAGGCATGAGCCACCGTGCCTAGCCTATTGTTGTAGTTTTTAAGAGGTTGTATCCTTATTATGTTCGTAATATCTTACAAAAGATTAAAATTAACAACAAAAAAAAAGAGGATATCTTCTCTGCTAATAGACTAAGTCAACACTGCCCTTTTGAATCTTAATCTTGACTAGGTTAATAATTGTGGAATTTGAAAGCTACTCCTAAATTTAGGGTAATTTATATCTCTTTAGAAATAATTGGTGTTTTTCTTTTTGTTGGGTTTTTTTTTTTTTTTTTTTTTTTTTTTTGAGACATAGAGTTTTGCTCTTGTTGCCCAGGCTGGAGTGCAGTGGTGCAATCTTGGTTCACTGCAACCTCCACCTCTCAGGTTCAAGAGATTCTCCTGCCTCAGCCTGCTGAGTATCTGGGATTAACGCCCGGCTAATTTTTGTATTTTGTTTAGTAGAGATGGGGTTTCGCCATGTTGGCCAGGCTGGTCTACGAACTCCTGACCTCAGGTAATCCACCTACCTTGGCCTCCCAAAGTGCTGGAATTACAGGCATGAGCCACCGCGCCCAGCCAGAAATAGGTTCTTAAGCACCTGTTTCACATGGCCACATTTTAATAAATTTACTTACTATGAATATTGGAGACTCCCCACTATATCACAAGTTAAAATTTAAGTTTTACTATTTAGATGTAGTTTTTTCCTCTTAATTTACTCTACATTGAAGGTTTTTATTTCTTAGTATCTGAACACTTTAGAATTAAACTCTCTTGGAGAGAAACCTGACAATTATGGTTCTGTGCTTCAGTATGGTCAATATCTACGTCTCCTTTATGTTTCACTTAAATTGTGATATTAAAATGACATTAGGTGGGTCACATACTTGGTGTAAAAAATAAAAAAGAAATATTAAAAATTTAAAAAGGTATTAGGAAAAGTTGTAAGTAAGATTATATGACCCATTAAAAAAAAGCTAGGAAGTTGCAGACAGTTAATTACTTGTCCTGTTTTTGATCAAGGAAGTTAGGTTTTATACACAGAAGGTTGATTTGGTGTCTGACATTGGAACTGAATGGAGATAGTACTTTATTAGTCTCTGGAGAAAAAATCTTACTTTATATAGTCTGAGAGATAACATATATGAATTAGACAGAAATATAGCAGATGTTAAGGACCAAATGAGTAGTATAGAAAAATGCTACAGTTCAGAGTAGTGATTGATCAGTGAAGCCTGGAACATCTTAGTGAAGATGTAGGACTTGGGCTAGTCCTTGAAGAAAAGGGAGACATTTATTTGTAATGTTTTGCAATAATTTCCCACCAAGAAGATGAGACGTTTTTTAGAACTACTATGTTGGATTTGTAAATGGTATGCATGTTAACCAAACAGTGCCCTGGGAGCTTAGTTATTCTTGACATAAATTGGTAAAAAAGAACCAAGTATGAATTACTGCTAAAATTTACCTCATTTATATCATTTAAAAATTATATTAATATGATTATAAGACATAATGTCATTAACATTTTAACCTGTGATTAAGTCTTAATATTTTGGTTTTATTGAATCTTAACAAATTTCAGTTTTTATTTTCAGCATATACTTTTAATTACTAGGCTTATAAACTCCCAGTACTATATTAAGGACTATTTTCAGTTTATATCTGATTTTTTTAAAGAAGGATGTGCATACTTTGTTTGCCTTTTTAAAAACCCTGACTTTTATTATGTATAAGAATTGAGCTTCCATTAATGACAGTTTATTTAAAAATTGTAGTAAGTTCTGTGACAACTTATAAATGTCATAAAGAACATGTAGTTTTGGATTGTTCTATGTTTCTAAAATGTGGAATTAATTTATACTTAGGGAATGTTGGATTTTATTTTGTGTTACTTAATTCCTTTCCCTTCATAGCCTGTACAGGTCAGAAAAGAGTGAAAGATGCTCAGGGAGGAGGAAGTTCATCAAAAAAGCAGAAAAGAAGCCATAAAGCAACAGTGGTAAACAACAAAAAGAAGGGAAAAGGCAGTAAGTGTGAAATCTCTAATTTTTAAAATATAAAAATAATAGCTGATAATTTTACCCCCAGTAAGAAAATGGTATTCAGGGTATGGGATAGTACACTATTTTGATTTTGTCTGTACACTCAAAAAAAGTCACACAAATTCTGTAAGGCTACTTGCTTTAAAAAACAAAATAGACAAAAAAAAAACATGCACTAGGACAAATACCTAATGTAAATGATGAGTTGATGGGTGCAGCAAACCAACATGGCACATGTATACCTATGTAACAAACCTGCACATTGTGCACACGTACCCTAGAACTTAAAGTATAATAATAAAAAGAAAAAAGAATTTCTGCAAAAACAAACAAAACAAAACAAAAAAAACACAGGTTTTCTAATCTTAGGTAAATTCTAGTTTTAAGCAAGTTGGTGTTATTCAGCGGTGGTATTGATTGCTGATGAAAAATCAAGTAATCTGTTTTTGAAATAATAGCCAATATATTATAAACATCAACATATTTGTTACCTTTGTATTCCACAGTTCTTTTCACTTGCTATAAAATGTATCACACATTGTGAAATATTTCAACTACATGTTATTTTTATTACAGTGAAATTGATTGCTTAGTAATTCTTCAAGGCAAAATCAGCATAGAAGTATAACAATCAAGATAACTTTAGAACTATAATTCCAACAACTCCAGTCTACAACATTTGTCTTTGGTACTCTATATTATGTGACCTGAGAGTAACTACAAACAATACTTTTTGCTAAGTATGCTCCAACTTTAGCAACGACTCCGTGCATCAATCCACAGAAAATATATATACTGTATTTCTTCTGAGGGCTGCACATTTTATCTCTCTTTTGTAGACAAAGTAAGAAGCAGAAAATATGTAAAGAATTTTTTTTCAGGTGCCCCACACTGACCTCCTGCTGCTCTTCCAGGAGACTCCTGCCACCTCCACTGCCTGACCTTTGCTAGCAGCCGGCTTGGCTGCACTTCAGTGCAGAAAAGGGTTATTCGGCCAGCTCCCCGAGGTTCTGCTGAGCCCATATGACTTCCAGGCGGTGAATATGGCGTCCCTGGGGCCCCGGGCGGCTGTGCTCAGCAAGGCCATGAAAGCCAGGCTGAGACAGTCCACTGCATAGAGTGGGGCCAAGCCTTGGGTGGCTTAGCTAGGAGTTGCCAGGGGTTCCAGAGCAGCAGTGGGGGAGCTGGGAGGGAATTTGTGTATATGTGTCAACCAGTGGTGGAGTTTCTTTATTCCCAAAATTTCACAGTGGGAGGAGTTGCTGCTATCTACCTTTACTATTTGGAATAATTTCTGGCTTTGAGAGTTTAACTCCTTTTTTTTTTTTTTTTTTTTTTTTTTTTTTTGGTGATGTTGTTAAGTGAAAAATCAGTAAATATATGCCAAATCAGTCAGTCATCAATTGTTTGGTGTAACTGGTAGGATATTTAAAGTGTTTTTTCTTTCACTGTGATGTTTTTGTCTTCAAGAGTTTACTATTTAAATGACATTTCCTAAGAGAGCGCATCTTCAATGAGTTATTTAGTATATTCATATAATACAGAGATATAGTGTTCTCCCATTTTACTTATTGGGATTCTGCCATGGTAAATCAGAATGAGTTAACCATTCAAGAGAATAATTTAGTAACATGAATTAATTCTGATGGAATCTAAACTAATACTTTGTATCCAGAAAGAGGTTATCTATGGAAATACTAATCCCATCACCTACCTGTTCACATGGTAAGCTGTCAAGGTCAAGTATTTCCATTTTAGTGCTGAAGTTTAATTAGCAATAGCAGTTGTAACATAATTGTTACACAGACTTCTGAATTGTTCATAAAATACTGAATATTTTATTAGGGTGAAACTGATTATTTTAGTCAACCCACAGCATAGGAGTTATTTAAGAGTAATTTCATTATACATATCAAACTTCAGAGTTTATTCCCGAGGAGTTCTTTATTGAATATGATGATTGTGCATCATTATTTGTTTGTGGCCAAAGGAGCAGGAAAATGTTGCATATACCCAATGTTACATATTCATTGTAGAGGTTTCTACAATTAATCATTTTAAAAGATGATATATTTTATGTATTAACATAATAGAGTAAAAAGCCATTCAGATGATTACTGTATATTTGACAGTCTACCAAGCATAATGATAGATTAGTGTGAGTGATTTTAAAAGTATACATATTATTGGCAGTTCAGGTAAGAAGAATTTTTTGTTTTTGCTTTTCCTAAGATGCTGCTGCATTTGTATATGATTTTCCAGGTTTCTAGGCAGGTTGTTTTCTGTAGGACTAAATTCAAATGGCTAATTTTAAATTACCTACTAAAATCTGTGACAAATTTATTGTTACATTTTTGTTTATTAAATCTTTTCTTTCTCTTTCAGCAAATAGTAGTGATAGTGAAGAACTTTCAGCTGGTGAAAGTATAACTAAGAGTCAGCCAGTCAAATCAGTTTCCACTGGAATGAAGTCTCATAGTACCAAATCTCCCGCAAGGACGCAGTCTCCAGGAAAATGTGGAAAGAATGGTGATAAGGATCCTGATCTCAAGGAACCCAGTAATCGATTACCCAAAGTTTACAAATGGAGTTTTCAGATGTGTAAGTGACATGTTAAATTGACAAGCATACAAACTTCATCCTAGTAACTCTTTTTGTTTTATTTTGTTTTTGTTTTTAGAGACAGAGTCTCGCTCTGTCACCAGGCTGGAGTGCGGTGGTGCGATCTTGGCTCACTGTAATCTTCAGCCTCCTGGGTTCAAGCCATCCTCCTGCCTCAGCCTCCCAAGTAGCTGGGATTACAGGCACGCGCCACCACACCCAGCTAATTTTTTTGTGTGTTTAGTAGAGACAGGGTTTCACCATGTTGGCCAGGATGGTCTCCATCTCCTGACCTCATGATCCGCCCGCCTCGGCCTCCCAAAGTGCTGGGATTACAGGCATGAGCCACTGCGCCTGGCCTTTTTTTTTGAGACAGAGTCTCTCTGTCGCCCAGGCTAGAGTGCAGTGCAGTGGCATAGTCTCTGCTCACTGCAACCTCCATCTCCCTGGTTCAAATGATTCTCCTGCCTCAACCTCCCGAGTAGTTGGGATTACAGACGCCCACCACCACACCTGGCTAATTTTTTTGTTGTTGTTGTATTTTTAGTAGACATGGGGTTTCACCATGTTGGCCAGGCTGGCCTTGAACTCCTGACCTCAGGTGATCCATCCGCCTCTGCCTCGCAAAGTGCTGGGATTTTGGGCATGAGCCACCATGCCCAGCCCCAATCCTAGTAACTCTTCATGCCAATACTCTGAAAAAGAGGCTTTACCAAACTTAATAGATGTACTAATGTACAATGTATAGACCTTATTTGGATCCCGGTTTGAATAAATAAATTGGTTAAAGAAAAATTTTAAGGCAGTTGAGGCAAATGCCAACACTGACTAGATATTTCTGATATGGCTGGGCGCAGTGGCTCATGCCTGTAATCCCAGCACTTTGGGAGGCTGAGGTGGGTGGATCACGAGGTCAGGAGTTCGAGACCAGCCTGACCAGCATGGTGAAACCCTGTCTCTACTAATAAAACAAAAAATTAGCTGCGCGTGGTGGCACGCGCTTGTAGTCCCAGCTACTCAGGAGGCTGAGGCAGGAGAATTGCTTGCACCTGGCAGGTGGAGGTTGCAGTGAGCCGAGGTTGCGCCACTGCACTCCAGCCTGGGCGACAGAGTGAGACCCCATCCCAGAAAAAAAAAAAAAGATACTTCTGATATGATGTCGGTAATTTGATTTAAAAGTATCTGGTGTTAGGGGTGAGGAATGGATAGGGGTGCAGATGATACAGGTTTTGCCATAAATTGATGATTACTGAAGCTGGATAATGAGTACATGGGGTTCACTATCCTTCTCTCTATACTTTTGTATATGTGAGAAATCTTCATAAATCTTCATTTAAAAAAAGGTATATATATATATGTTTTAGGTATACATATATATATATATATATATATATATATATATATATATATATTTTTTTTTTTTTTTTTTTTTTTTTTTTTTAAATAGAGACGAGGTCTCATTATGTTGCCCAGGCTAATCTTGAACTCCTGAGCTCAAGACTGAGCTGATCCTTCCACCTCTACTTCCCAAAGTGCTAGGATTACAGGTGTGAGCCACCACACCCAGCCAATATGTATATTTTTTTAATACTACTCTAGAGTTTTTCACACAAGGAAATACCTTAAGTATTCTTAGGAGATTGAAGATTGCTTTAGAGCTTTTTAAAATTGCCTTCTAATTTAAATTTTTACACACTCTTTAAAAAAACCTAAAAAATAACAGAGAACAGAAGAGAAAAATTTATCCACAGTCTTGTTACTCACAAAATGTGTACAATTTAGCATTTTGGTGTCTTTCCAGGTTTTTTGTTTTGTTTTGTTTTTGTGTTTTTGTTATTTTTAGACAGAGTCTCACTCTGTTGCCCAGGCTAGCGTGCAGTGGCACAATCTCGGCTCACTCCAACCTCCACCTTCCAGATTCAAGCGATTATCCTGCCCCAGCCTCCCGAGTAGCTGGGATTGCAGGCACCCGCCACCATGCCCAGCTAATTTTTGTAGTTTTAGTAGAGACAGGGTTTCACCATCTTGGCCAGGCTGGTATCGAACTCCTGACCTCGTGATCCGCCCACCTCGGCCTCCCAAAGTGCTAGGATTACAGGTGTGAGCCACCGTGCCCAGCCCCAGTTTTATTTTTAAGTGTGATTTTTTACTGTGGTAATACTGTATATGGATGTGGATATATGTAGATCTTAAGGTGTTTAATGCTGTACATATTCATTCAACAAATACTGTGCATTTATTATGTGCCAGGCATTGTTCTAGGCTAGATAAAAAATTTGGAAAACAAATATTTCAGAAGCCTTAGTTTTTTAGTTCATCTGCCTCAACCTTATTCAGCAGCCATGCTCGATGTTCTCTCCTTTTTGTATGTTAAAATTTTCTTTAAAAATGTCTGTTAATGAAAGCTTTAAATTTATAGCGGACCTGGAAAATATGACAAGTGCCGAACGCATCACAATTCTTCAAGAAAAACTTCAAGAAATCAGAAAACATTATCTGTCATTAAAATCTGAAGTAGCTTCCATTGATCGGAGGAGAAAGCGTTTAAAGAAGAAAGAGAGAGAAAGTAAGTATTTTTACTTTATTTTTATTTATTTATTTATTTTGAGACAGAGTTTCACTCTTGTCGCCAGGCTGGAGTGCAATGGCGCAATCTCGGCTCACTGCAACCTCCACCTCCTGGGTTCAAACAGTTCTCCTACCTCAGCTTCCTAAGTAGCTGGAATTACAGGCATGCACCACCAAGCCCGGCTAATTTTGTATTTTTTAGGTAGAGACAGGGTTTCGCCATGTCAATCAGGCTGGTCTCTAACTCCTGACCTCAGGTGATCTACCTGTCTTGGCCTCCCAAAGTGCTAAGATTACAGGCGTGAGCCAAGAGTGCCCTGCCAGTATTTTTACTTTATTTAAACATAAACCAGAATTTCTCACTCTGCAGTTAGACTGCCATGACTTTGTCTATTTTCAGGCAAATTCTTTAATTTCTTTATCTTATTTTCCTCATCTCTAAAGTGAAATTATCTCAAATAAAAAAATTATTTCAGATCATAATATTCACTTTCATAGAGTTTATACTCTACCAAAAACATCCTAATAAGATAATTTCAGATATTGAAAGCACTATGAAGAAAATGATGTTAAGGTAGTGATTGGATGGGTTACTTTAGATTACAAATGGTCAGTATATTTTTGTTGATACCTGAATGACATGAGGAAGTGAGATAAATTAAAATCTGGGAGGAGGCCGGGCACAGTGGCTCATGCCTGTAATCCCAGCACTTTGGGAGGCTGCGGTGGGTGGATTGCCTGAGGTCAGGAGGTCGAGACCAGCTTGGCCAACATAGTGAAACCCCGTCTCTACTAAAAAATACAAAAAATTAGCTGTGCGCGGTGGCGGGTGCCTGTAATCCCAGCTACTTGGGAGGCCGACGCAGGAGAATTGCTTAAACCCAGGAGGCAGATGTTGCAGTGAACGGAGATCATGCCATTGCACTCCAGCCTGGGCAACAAGAGCTAAACTCTGTCTCAAAAAAAAAAAGACATCTATCCAGAAACTCCTTCTAAACAATGTTTTGTAAATATAGTCACCACAAATTCTTTATAATGAATGATTTTGCTAAATAGAGCCTCTCTACTGGGTTAGCATTAAAAGTCGGTTCCTAAATACTATTTTAAGAAAAATCCATAGGAAAATGCTTATCCTGGTTACCAAAGAAATGCAAATCAAATAAGGTATCATTCTTTTTTTTTGGAGATGGAGTTTTGCTCTGTCGCCCAGGCTGGAGTGCAGTGGCGCGATCTCAGCTCACTACAACCTCCGCCTCCTGAGTTCAAGCGATTATCCTGCCTCAGTCTCCCGAGTGGCTGGGATTACAAGCGTGCTGCCACGCCCAGCTAATTTTTTATTTTTAGTAGAGATGGGGTTTCACCATGTTGGCCAGGATGCAGGATGGCTCGATCTCTTGACTTCGTGATCCGCCTGCTTCAGTCTCCCAAAGTGCTGGGATTACAGGCATGAGCCACTGCGACTGGCCCAAATAAGGTATCATTCTTACCAAAAAAATTAAAACTAAAACCAATGCAGGAACAGTGTAGTGAAATATATAAGTTATGAGTTGTAATATAGTAGAATATTACTCAACTTTGAAAAGAAAAGGATCTGTATGTACTGATATGGAACAATCTCTTAAAATATATTGTTTAAAAAAAAGTCAGACACTGAACTATGCTTCCACTTGTGTGTGTGTGGTTTTTTTTTTTTTTTTTTTTTTTTGAGACGGAGTCTCGGTCAGTCACCAGGCTGGAGTGCAGTGGCGCGATCTTGGCTCACTGCAACCTCTGCCTTCCGGTTCAAGCGATTCTCCTGCCTCAGCCTCCCGGGTAGCTAGGACTACAGGTGCGTGCCGCCATGCCCAGCTAATTTTTGTAATATTATTATTAATTTTTGAGACAGAGTATCTCTCTGTCATCCAGGCTGGAGTGTAGTGGTGCAATCTTGGCTCACTGCAAGCTCCGCCTCCCGGGTTCACGCCATTCTCCTGCCTCAGCCTCTCTAGTAGCTGGGACTACAGGCGCCCACCACCACATCTGGCTAATTTTTTGTATTTTTAGTAGAGACTGAGTTTCATTGTGTTAGCCAGGATGGTCTCGATCTCCTGACCTTGTGATCCGCCCACCTAGTCCTCCCAAAGTGCTGGGATTACAGGTGTGAGCCACCGTGCCCGGCCTCCACTTATGTTTTTAAAGGTGTTGCTATATCTATATATTTTAAATTTGCATATCATATCTCTAGATTCTAGAGATAAAATTCCTGTAGAACAGGGGTTGCAAACATTTTCTGTAAAGAGACAATAAATATGTTAGGCTTTGTGGGCCATGTGGTCTCTGTAGAAACTACTTATCTCTGCCATGGTAAGTGTGAAAACTCCCATAGGCAATATGTAAACAAATAGGCATGGCTGTGTTCCAGTACAATTTTTCTTTCCAAAGACAAGTAAGCCAGATTTGCCCCTGGGGTAGTTTTTTTGCCAGCCTTTTTTCTAGAGTTGTAATGAATATGAATCAACTGGTAGCAATGGGGAAGGGAATTTGGGTGATTAGGAGGTTCCTGGATGAGAGTGAGATTTGCTTTTCTATCCTATTACCCCTGTACTGAATGAATTTTTTAAATCTGTGCATGTATTTAAAAATATTAATTTATGAACACTAATTTATAACAGAGAGGCCGGGCGCAATTGCTCACGCCTGTAATTCCAGCACTTAGGGAAGCCAAGGCAGGCAGATCACCTGAGGTCAGGAGTTCGAGACCAGACTGGCCAACATGACGAAACCCCATCTCTACTAAAAATAGAAACATTAGCCGGACATGGTGGCGCATGCCTGTAATCCCAGATACTCAGGAGGCTGAGACAGGAAAATTGCTTGAACCCAGGAGGCAAAGGTTGCAGTGAGCTGAGATTGCACTGCTGCAGTCCAGCCTGGGCAACAGAGCAAGACCCCCATCTCAAAGGAAAAAAAAAAAAAAGGAGGCTGAGGCAGGAGAATGGCGTGAACCTGGAAGGCGGAGCTTGCAGTGAGCCGAGATCGCACCACTGCACTCCAGCCTGGGCGACAGAGTGAGACTCCGTCTCAAAAAAACAAACAGGCTGGGCGCGGTGGCTCACACCTGTAATCCCGGCATTTTGGGAGGCTGAGATGGGCGGATCATGAGGTCAGGAGATCGAGACCATCCTGGCTAACATGGTGAAACCCCATCTCTACTAAAAATACAAAAAAATTAGCCGGGCGTGGTGGCGGGCGCTTATAGTCCCAGCTACTGGGGGGGCTGAGGCAGGAGAATGGCGTGAACTCAGGAGGCAGAACTTTTAGTGAGCCAAGATCGAGCCACTGCACTCCAGCCTGGGCGACAGACAGAGCGAGACTTTGTCTCAAAAAACAAACAAACAAAAAAAAACGAAAAAAGGAAACAGTGAGAGACTTCCTCTGATGAAAATAACTAATGTGTTATTTGCTTTGTAAACCTAGTGGCGGAGAATGCAACAGTTGAGCTATGCACTGTTTTGATCCAACTTGAAGAAGCAATTAAGCCTCCCACTCTTGTCACCATTTACATGTACAAGAAAACTCCTAAGTACAGAAAGATGGAGGGATTAGGAGGGGACAAATGATTTTTGGATGGATTGCAGATTTTTCCTGTTTTGATACTTGTTTCACTGTTACAAAAAGTGTATTCTGTATTTTATTTCTGTGTCTTGTAGACTAGGCACAGTTCTTTCCCTCTTTGACCCACGCAGGAGCCTTCCCTGGTCTGTCCTTTTCATTACTTCTGTAGTTGGGCACTGTCTAGCTTCTTGAGCTACACTAGCTTTTCCTTTCTTCACATCGTAGAACTGTGAGAATTGACCACTGTTGTTGTAAGCTAAATGATTTTGGACAATATAGCGGAATTTTAGTTCAGAGGACTAGTATTTTCTGTCTATTGTTAGACATAAATTTTTATTAAGCTCTTGGTTTGGTCTCCCTTTTCCTTAGGTGCTGCTACATCCTCATCCTCCTCTTCACCTTCATCCAGTTCCATAACAGCTGCTGTTATGTTAACTTTAGCTGAACCGTCAATGTCCAGCGCATCACAAAATGGAATGTCAGTTGAGTGCAGGTGACAGCAGGACTTGCTAAAGCACTTTGCACTTAATGGCTGTTGAGGGCCACTTTTTTTTTATACTGCACAGTGGCACAAAAAAATATCAGACAAGCACTATTTTATATTTAAAAATTGTTTCTTGACAAGCTGACTTGGCACTTAAGTGCACTTTTTTATGAAGAAAAAGTACAATGAACTGCTTTTCCTCAAGCAATAATTGTTTCCAACTTGTCTGGGAATTGTGTGTCTGGTAACTGGAAGGCCTTCCACTGTGGCAAATGGAGGCTTTTCACTGCCTGTAGAGACAATACAGTAAGCATAGTTAAGGGGTGGGTCAGAACATGTTAAGATAACTTACTGTATATGTATTCCCTTGTATTTTGTTAAAGCTGGAACATTTGATATTTTTCCATTTATTTATGAAAAAATATGAACCTATTTTCATTTGTACAAGGTAATTGTTTTTTAAAGCAAGTCACCTTAGGGTGGCTTTAATTGTATAAGTCAAGCACATGTAATAAATTCAAAACCTGCAGTTAACAGGATATTAGACATCAATCCTGGTAACCAAATATTAAAGATTCTCTTTAAAAAAGACTGAACATGTTTACAGGTTTGAATTAGGCTAAAAGGTCTTGCAGTGGCTTTTCATGGCCCTTCAAATTGGAATGGAACTACTGTACTTTGCCATTTTTCTATAAATCAGTATTTTTTTTTAATTTTGATATACATTGTGTGAAAAAAGAAAATGGCTAATAAACTGTATTAAATCTTAAACAATGTATAAAGATTGTACTTAGCCAGTTCAAAGTGTATATTTATTCATAATGAATTATAACAGTTATATTTTTGTGTTTTCTTGTAAATGTTTCTTTTCCCTTAAATACAGATAATTCATTTGTATTGCTTATTTTATTATGAGCTACAACAAAAGGACTTCAGGAACAAGTAATGTATTAGTATGGTTCAAGATTGTTGATAGGAACTGTCTCAAAAGGATGGTGGTTATTTTAAATATAAATAGCTAATGGGGGTGGTAGGCCTATAAAATTAAATGCCTTGTATAAAATCCAAAATGAATGCAAAATTGTTTTCACTTGTATTGACTTTATGTTGTATGATTCCAATCTCTGTTCTGTTTGGCACTTGTATTTAATTCTTCACCTTTGTAAGACATTTGTATATTGTGGATGTGTTCATTCAAGCTATTTAATATCTGGCACTGTTAATACACAGTACTTTATTGTACAGACTGTTTTACTGTTTTAATTGTAGTTCTGTGTACTTTTTTTGGATGGGGCTGGCATGTTTTCTTTGTTTCCTGGCAATACGACGTGGGAATTTCAATGCGTTTTGTTGTAGATGCTAACGTGTCAGAATCCTTTACATTCAACTTTTCTAAGAAAAGCATTTTCAGTCTTGTAGTGTGTGCTTACAGTAACTAATTTTGTTGAAAATGGTTTCAAGTTATTCAAATTTGTACAGGACTGTAAAGATTTGTTGACAGCAAAATGTTGAAGAAAAAAGCTTATAGAATAAAAGCTATAAAGTATATATTAGGATCTGCAAACAATGAAGAATTATGTAATATATTGTACAAATGTAAGCAAAGGCTCTGAAATAAAATGCCATAGTTTGTGAATCCTTGATTTTTGTTTCTAAAAGATTTAGTAATTTTAGTTCATTTCTGTATGTGATGACTGACTGGAACATACATATCCAGCACGTATTATCACAGGGGATTAATTGATACACAAAAAAAGGAAGATTCTACCTATGAAAATTAAAAGTCCATTAATCAGATAAGGAATGTATTAGGCATTCTTTTTTTTTTTTTTTTTTTTGGACACGGAGTCTTGCTCTGTCACCCAGGCTAGAGTGCAGTGGCGCAATCTCCAGCTCACTGCAACCTCTATCTCCCGGGTTCAAGCAATTCTCCAGCTTCAGCCTTCCGAGTAGCTGGGATTATAGACATCTGCCAGCACTCCTGGCTAATTTTTGTATTTTTAGCAGAGACGGGGTTTCACCGTACTGGTCAGGCTGGTCTCAAACTCCTGACCTCATGTGATCCACCCACCTTGGCCTCCCAATGTGCTGGGATTACAGGCGGGAGCCAACACACCCAGCCTAGGCATTCTTTTATCTTTGCACACACTATTTTGCTTGAGTCTGAATTTAAATATTTTTCTTATCACTTGAAGAATTGTCCAAATTTGAAAATTAAGTGTTTTTTTTAAAATTTATTTAACACTTGAAACCATTACCAGCGGCTTTTTAAAATTTTTAATTTAGTTAGACCTTTCCGGGTCTTTTATACTTCAGTGTGTTCTATTGCACATTGCAATCATCTGGACATTGTTAAAAGTATATTCAGTACTCACACCCCACTCCCAAGGAGTTATATTTAATTGGTTGGGGGTAGTACCTGGATGTTGATCTTTAATTTTTAAAGGTCTCTAGTGATATTAATATGCATCTGGGTTGAGAAACACTGCTTTGCCGCAAACTTCTAAAAATCTATAATCTAGTTTTTTGGCCCCACTTATTGGACTTTCTACCAACAGAAAACCTTTCTTGGCTGGGCGCAGTGGCTCAACGCCTGTAATCCTAGCACTTTGGGAGGCCGAGGCAGGCGGATCACGAGGTCAAGAGATCGAGACCATCCTGGCCAACATGGGGAAACCGTATCTCTACTAAATATACAAAAAAAAAATTAGCCAAGCGTGGTAGTGGGCGCCTGTAGTCCCAGCTACTCGAGAGGTTGAGGCAGGAGAATGGCATGAACCTGGGGGGCGGAGCTTGCAGTAAGCCGAGATCGTGCCACTGCACTCCAGCCTGGGCAACAGAGCGAGACTCCGCCTCAAAAAAAAGAAAACCTTTCTTTAATACAGAGAGAGGCCGGGCGTGGTGGCTTAATGCCTGTAATCCCAGCACTTTGGGAGGTTGAGGTGGGTGGATCACCTGAGGTCAGGAGTTCGAAACCAGCCTGACCAACATGGTGAAACCCTGTCTCTACTAAAAATGCAAAATTAGCCGGTCATGGTGGCGCATGCCTGTAATCCCAGCTACTAGGGAGGCTGAGGCAGGAGAATCGCTTGAACCTGGGAGGCGGAGGTTGCAGTGAGCCAAGATTGCACTCCAGCCTGGGAAACAAGATTGAAACTCCGTCTCAAAAAAAAACAAAAACAAAAACAAAAACGAGAAAGGAAATCAACTTTTTTAAGGCCTAGAAAGCTTAAATACATATTTTTTAAAGCATCTTTGTGGTGGCCCTTTATTTTCACAAAAATTAGTTTAAGGGATGATATTTTAAATCTGTGGAACGGTGCTTCCCAAAATGAATTCCTAGAATACTGGTCCCTGGAAATGCTCTGGGAATTTATAACCAAATATATTTTGGAAAATCTATGTATAGCACATTCTTAGAGAATCACAGTGTTTGCATATTAAAAACTTTGAGAAGGCCTGTGAAGAGATACCTGCCTAATAACTTCCTTTACCCTACTGTTTTCAATCCCACCTAATCATGAAACCCTGTTTTTTGAGGAGCTCTTAATATCACATACTGAGTATGTTATAGAAACAGTGCTGAATAGGGGAATTATTCCAAATTTTGGTGGAGTCGAGATTTATGACTTTGTGCCTCTCTGTCTCGCCTGCCTTCTTGTTCTACGTCCTACCTTCTTAAGAGGGTTTGAGGATTTTATTGAATTAGTAGAATTGACCTATGTCTACTTCTGGTCACCTAAACTAGACTTTACTAAGTTAGTTTACAATTGACATATTAAGATGGTATGTTTTTCTTTTCTTTTTTTTCTTTTTTTGAGACGGAGTCTCACTCTGTTGCCCCAGGCTGGAGTGCAGTGGTGCAATCTTGGCTCACTGCAACTTCTGCCTCCCAGGTTCAAGTGATCCTCCTACTTCAGCCTCCCGAGTAGCTGGGACTACAGGCACGTGCCACTGCACCCAGCTAATTTTTTGTATTTTTAGTAGAGAGGGGTGTTTCACCGTGTTAGTCAGGATGGTCTCGATCTCCTGACCTCGTAATCTGCCCGCCTTGACCTCACAAAGTGTTGGGATTACAGGCATGAGCCACCGCGCCCACCCAAGATGATACGTTTCTTAACGGTGTTCTCCAAAACGTTTTTTTTCCTACTGAAAAAACTTTAGAGTGGGGTCTTGTTAATTTCTTTTTTTTGTTTGTTTTGTTTTGTTTTAGACAGAATCTCGCTCTGTCGCCCAGGCTGGAGTATAATGGCGCCATCTTGGCTCACTGCAACCTCTGCCTCCCGGGTTCAAGTGGTTCTCCTGCATCAGCCTCCCGACTAGCTGGGATTACAGGCGCCCGCCACCATGCCTAGCTAATTTTTGTATTTTTAGTAGAGATGGGGTTTCACCATGTTGGCCAGGCTGATCTCAAACTTCTGACCTCAGATGATCCACCCACCTCGGCCTCCCAAAGCGCTGGGATTACAGGCGTAAGCCACCGCACCCGGCCTCCTTTTGTTTTTTTGAGACGGAGTTTCGCTCTTGTTGCCCAGGCTGGAGTGCAAATGGCGCAGTCGCTGATCTGAAACTCCTGGGCTTGCATTCCTTCCGTCTTGGTCTCCCAAAGTGCTGGGATTATAGGCGTGAGCCACCTTGTCCCACCATGTCCTCATATTTTAAAAAACTCTCAAAGCAGTAAGTGATCTCTAAATGGTTAAAAACAGCACTGAACAGCAATGAAGATAATTTTAAAACTATCTGCAACCACAGCTGCTTTCGCAGTCTGTTTTCTTCTATAAGTATCTGCTACCTAGCTGGGCACAGTGGGTCATACCTGTAATCCCAGCACGTTGGGAGGTCAAGGCGAGCGGATCACCTGAGGTCAGGAGTTCGAGACCAGCCCGACCAACATGGAGAAACCCTGTCTCTATTAAAAATATAAAATTAGCCAGGCATGGTGGTGCATGCCTGTAATCCCAACTACTCGGGAGGCTGAGGCAGGAGAATCGCTTGAACCTGGGAGGCGGAGGTTGCAATGAGCCAAGATCGTGCCACTGCACTCCAGCCTGGGCAACAAGAGTGAAACTCCGTCTCAAAAAATACACAGAATAGAATTCTATAATTCTAGAAATATAGAATATAATTTCTTCACTGGACTGGATAGAACAGATTTTTGAGTTGTATCGCATGCATGTATGGATAAGCTTTCTTCATCTTTGTGAAATACCAGAAGATCAAGATTATGGGAAACCAAAATAAGGGGCCCAGTAATCAAAACCCAGGGCCGAGCAGTTGAATATTGTGGATTTTTTTCATAAATTTCTCTGAAGGGGGAAGTAAAAGTCACATATATTCCCAGTCAACTTGGTTGAGTAGCTTTCAAAAAGCTTAGGCTGTCCCCAAAAGACTCAAAGTCAAATCCTGGCTGGATGCAGTGGCTCACGCCTGTAATTCCAACCCTTTGGGAGGCCAAGGCAGGAGGACTGCTCAAGCTCAGGAGTTCAAGACCGGCCTGGGAAACACAGTGAAACCCCAATCTCTATTTAAAAAAAAAAAAAAAAAAAAAGGCCAGGCGCGGTGGCTCACACCTGTACTCCCAGCACTTTGGGAGGCTGAGGTGGGCGGATCACAAGGTCAGGGGTTCGAGACCAGCCTGGCTAACATGGTGAAACCCGGTCTCTACTAAAAAAATACAAAAATTAGCTGGGCATGGTGGCATGCACCTGTAATCCCAGCTACTTGGGAGGCTGAGGCAGGAGACTCACTTGAACCCGGGAGGCGGAGGTTGCAGTGAGCTGAGATCGCGCCACTGCAGTCCAGCCTGGGCGACAGAGCGAGACTCTGTCTCCAAAAAAAAAAAAAAAATTAGCTGGGCATGGTGCTGCTGCTTGCAGTTCCAGCTACTCCGTGGTGGGAGGATGGCTTGAGCCCAGGAAGTCAAGGCTGCAGTGCGCCGTGATCTCACCACTACACTCCAGTCTGGGTGACAGAGCAACACCTTGTCTGAAAGAAAATAAGAACAAAGTCAAATCCTATTTTGCCACTCAAACTATTGGATGATTTAACTAGTAATCTTTTATTACCCTGAGAGTCAATTTAACAAATATTCACTATGTACAGCTAATAGAGACACAGCATACATGATGAATAAAACATAATCCTTACTGTCTTGCCTTTACATCTAAAGAGACTGTAACTAACACTAAAGCAGACCAAAAATGATTATAGTAAGTACCATGGGGGCTTGGGAAAATATCCCTATTGTAAATAGCAAAGAATTTTTTTTTTTTTTTTTTTGAGCCAGGGTCTGCCGCTTAGGCTGGAGTGTAGTGATGCGATCACAGCTTACTGCAGCCTCGACCTTCCAGGGCTCAAGGGATCCTCTTGCCCGAGCCTCTCAAAGTGCTGGGACTACAGGCGCCGAGCGCGAAGGTGCCCGTCTAATTTCTTTTCTGTAGAGAATAAGTCTCGCTAGATCGACCAGGCTGGTTCAAACTCCTAGTCCTCACGCAATCCTCCCACTTCGGCCTCCAAATGTGTTAGGATTACAGGCGAGCCACCGCACCTGGCTGCAAAGAAATACTAAGTTAGACAGTATCTGAGGTAGGCCTTGAAGGATGGACATTATTTTGCAGAAGGGGAAAGAGGAGGGCAATTACAACAGAGGGGACAGGAATAACAACTGTAGAGGCAGTGGAGAAAGCAGGCTAGAATGTCAGGGGCTGGAGGGAGATGAGTCTGGGAAGACGGGCTGAGAACACCTTGAAGCGTTTTGAATGCCAAGTATCTACTTTTCCAGGTAGAATAGCAGGTCCGCATTACAATCTTTCGAATTGTATGTTGACGTGACTCGTTAGAGTTGTGGTTTTTATTTTGGAATAATGTCATGTTTCAGACAAGTTGCAAGAAGAGTACAAAGAATTCCTTTGTACTCTTCACAGCGATTAGCAAATTGTAAACACCCCACTGCGTTCACCCCTAACCGCATTTCTTGCCAAACCTCCCTCCCTCCTTTTCAACAAGTCAGTATTCTACGTGTTTCTCTCTCGGCTTGGGTGGACACCCCGCTCCTAGCCTGGCTGATTCTTCACACTGCAGGCTTCAACCACTCCCAGAAGACGTCCTTCACTCCCAAAATGAGGCTTTTCTGAAACGGCGAGGACCACCAACCGACGGCGACAAACCTGCTCCCTCACCCAGCGCCTCCCTTCGCCGCCGCCCGGCGGCCGACTGCCGGAGGGGAGGGGGCGTGGCCAGAGAGCGGAAGTGCCCGGAACCCGGAAGTGCGAGCTGGCGCGCAGCTGCAGTCTGGGAGTCTTTGGAGTAAGAATGGCCTTGGAAGGGATGAGCAAACGGAAGAGAAAGAGAAGTGTCCAGGAGGGGTGAGTGGCGCGCGGCACGAGTACCTGGGGAGGGATGTTGTACGTTCCCTCGTGCTGGCGAAGCGGTGGTGCGTGGCGTGGCTGAGTTTCTGTCGTCCATTTCTAGAGAGAATCCTGACGACGGCGTTCGCGGGAGTCCGCCGGAAGACTACAGGCTTGGACAGGTCGCCAGTAGCTTATTTCGCGGCGAACACCATTCCAGAGGTGGCACCGGTCGGCTGGCGTCCCTCTTCAGTTCTCTGGAGCCCCAGATTCAACCCGTGTACGTGCCTGTGCCTAAAGTAAGTCACTGGGCTTTCTTCCCGAATAGCTCGTTAGAACCACTTACATACAAAGCAATCTTCTTACCTACCGCGTGAAGCGTGATTTCTAAAGGGGGCAGACAGGATTCATTTTAAGTAACCTTTCATGACTCTTACATACCAGTGAGAGAGAAGAGATTCTCATTTAGAAAGACTGAATTATGGCTTAGGGTCAGAATTCTAGAAGTATGGGGTCTCAAATATAACTTCAAACTTTTAAAAAGCAAACCATCAAAAAAACGAAACGGAATGAGGAGGAAGAAAGTACATCCCAGATTGAAAGACCACTTTCGCAAGAACCTGCCAAAAAAGTGAAAGCGAAGAAGAAACACACTAACGCAGAAAAAAAGTTGGCAGACAGGTTGGTAAAATTCTCTTATTTGATGTTAAAGAAATTAGATGGTAAATTAACATTCCTATACTTGGAATATTCGTCAGTTTTATTTCATATTTCTACTTTCTTTCAAAACTTTTATTATGGAAAATCCAGTACATATAGAAAAGTTGAAAAGGCTAAGAAACCCCGTGTACTCAGCATCAGCAATTACTAATATTTGGCTAACCTTTTTGTATTTTTACCCCACTCATATACCCCCTCATTATTTGTTTTTGTTTGTTTTGAGATGGAGTCTTGATGCCACGCCCAGGCTGCAGTAGAGTGCAGTGATCTCAGCTCACTGCAACCTCCGCTTCCCAGGTTCAAGCGATTCTCCTGCCTCGGCCCTGAGTAGGTGGGACTACAGGCCTGCGTCACCATGCCCAGCTAATTTTTGTATTTTTAGTGGAGACAGGGTTTCACCATGTTGGCCAGGCAGGTCTGGAACTCCTGACCTCAAGCGATCTGCCCACCTCGGCCTCCGAAAGTGTTGAGATTACAGGTGTGAGCCACCTCGCCCAGCTACCACCTCATTATTTGGAAGCAAAATGAAAATTTATGTTTCATCTATAAATATTTCAGCATGTATATAAAAGAATTTGGTTTGCGTTTCTTTTTTTTTTTTTGAGACGGAGTTTTGCTCTTTTTGTCCAGACTGGAGTGCAGTGGCCTGATCTCAGCTCACTGCAACCTCCACCTCCCGGGTTTAAGTGATTTTTCCTGCCTCAGGCCTCCCGTGGAGCTGAGATTACAGGTGCCACCATGCCCGGTTAATTTTTTGTGTTTTTAGTAGAGACAGAGTTTCATCATGTTGGCCAGGTTGGTCTTGAACTCCTGACCTCAGGTGATCCACCCACCTCAGCCTCCTAAAGTGCAGGGATTATAGGCATGAGCCACTGCACCTGGCCTGGTTTGCTTTTTAAAAAAAAAATTTTTTTTTTTTTTTTTGAGCTGGAGTCTCACTCTGTCGCCAAGGCTGGAGTGCAGTGGCGCAATCTTGACTCACTGCAACCTCCGCCTCCTGGGTTCAAGTGATTCTTCTGCCTCAGCCTACTGAGCAGCTGGGACTATGGGCGCGCCATCACACCCAGCTGATTTTTGTATTCTTAGTAGAGACGGGGTGTCACCATATTGACCAGTCTGGTCTCGAACTCTTGACCTCATGATCCACTTGCCTCCGCCTCCCAAGGTGCTGGGATTACATACGTGAGCCATCACACCTGGCCGAGTTTGGTGTTCTTAAATTTATTCATTTCCCTCATTAACTTTTTTTTTTTTTTTTTGAGACAAGGTCTGGCTCTGTCACCCAGGTTGGAGTGCAGTGGTGCGATTGCGGCTCACTGCAATCTTTGCTTCCCAGACTCAATCCAGCCGCCCACCTCAGCCTCCTGTGTTGCTTAGACTATAGGCATGCCCCACCATGCCCAGCTAATTTTTGTATGTTTTGTAGAGACGGGATTTTGCCATGTTGCCCAGGCTGGTCGCAAACTGCTGGACTCAAGTGATCCAGTCAGCATTTTTTTTTTTTTTTTAGTAAAAAAATAGAAACAGGGTCTTGCTATGTTGCCCAGGCTAGTCCTGAACTCCTGGGCTCAAACCATCCTCCTACCTCCGTCTCCCCAAGTGCTAGGATTACAGGCATGACCCACCATGCCCGGCCAGCATAACGTTGTTTAACAGTGTATTTGAATCAAGATGCAAATAGTGATCCCATCACGTGTACCTAGCTAACAGTCTTCATTCCTCTCTTCTTTGCCACTCTCCTCAAGCCCCTTATTTCCTTTTCCCTTTTCTCATTTCAACTGAAGACCTTTGTACCAGTTCTGGAGCTGTTAATCACTGACAGTTGGGAACTGCTACTTTTTGTCCTATTTAAACTTAATGCATCTGTACACAGCCATATTTCTTCCCCTCTTTCTTAGAGCAGAGTGTCTTCCCTCTTGTCCAAGATTAACTCAACCACCTGGGTGCTGTGTGTACCACATATGTTCTGCCTTTTTAGGGACTGTGCCGTCAGATCCATCCACGTTCGCCTCTTTCCCTTATCCCTCGTTTTTTTTTGTTTTTTTTTTTTGTTTTGAGATGGCGTTTCACTGTTGTCGCCCAGGCTGGAGAGCAACAGTGCAATTTTTGCTCACTGCAACCTCCGCCTCTGGGTTCAAGCGATTCTCCTGCCTCAGCCTCCTGAGTAGCTGGGATTACAGGCGCCCACCACCACACCCAGCTAATTTTTGTATTTTTTTGGTAGAGATGGGGTTTCACCATGTTGGCCAGGCTGGCCTTGAACTCCTGACCTCAGGTGATCCACCCGCCTTGGCCTCCCAAAGTGCTGGGATTACAGGCGTGAGCCACCGCGCCTGGCCCTTATCCCTCTTTCTGCTAATATAGACGTGCTCACGATTCTAATCTTTAAAAAGGACATTCCCCCTAACCGCCAAAAAAAAAAACCCATGTAATTGCATGTCTCTGTTTGCTACCATTCCCACAGTCCTTCCCTTCAGTCTAGCTTTTAAGAAAAGTAGTCTGTTCTTGTACTCTCTCCCTTCTCTTGATCTGTTCACCCTTCCACGCACTTGGATTCTGGTGGTGGTGGGTTTTATTCTCCGTCCTGACTGTGCCACTGAAGCAGTGCCCACTGAGGCCACCCTGACCTCTCATATGTAATGGGCAGTGCAGCTTTTGTCTTATGAGTCCTCTGTTACCTTTCACGTGGCTGCTTTTCTTGTTGAAGCTACCGGATTCTCTGAGAGAAATCTCTTCTGATTGTCCTCTTGCCAATTCTTTCTTAGTGTTACTGTGGTATCTTTTCCTCTGACTACTCTTTAAATGTGCATTTCCCTCAGGGGTCTCATTCTTGGTCATGTTCTTGTGACCCTTTGTCACCCTTTGTTGGGGGCAGTATCTCTTGTGCCCACCGTGATCTCTCTCCTGATCTCCAGACATGTATGTTTGTTTGCCTCCTGGCATTTGCACCTCTTTATTCCATATGTACCACCAGGTAAGAATGCTCCACTGGGAGCTCATCATTCTCATCAGTCCTGTTCCTTGGCATGAGCGCTACCACTAGCCTTCTAGTTGCCTAAGTTAGTGGCCCGAGAGTCATCCTGTCTTCTTTCCTCTCCTTGCTTAGCTAATCAGTTGCCGAGTCCTGATGATGCTGTTTTTTAATTATCTCTTTAATCTGCCTTTTCGTCTTCACCTCCTTCCCTGCTCTGGTCAGTCTGGTCAGTCTTCTCAGATACACACTGTTGTAACCATCTCCTTACTGGTCTCCCTTCTCCAACCTTATCCTCTTTCTAATTATCTTCCACTCTTCTGCCCAGATGATCTTTTTTAGATGCTCTCAAAGTCTTCAGTGTCTCCTCATCTTCAGTAGGATAAAATCTAAGCACTTTCGTGTAACACTGAAGGTCTCTCCTGACCTGGTTCCCACCTTACTGTACTGTCTCGTTTCCTTTCACACCTGCTAGGTACTTTATATACTGTAGTGAGCAAAACACTAGACATGGACCCTGTCCTCAGGGGAGGAGTAATAGCAGTCAGCTTTTATTGGACTATGTGCCAGACACTGATTTCCTCCTCTGAGAAGCCTTTCTCGTTTATGTTTGCATACCATGTATTATAGCTGTTACCATTTTATTGTGAACTTGGTCTGTCTCTTCACTGCACTGTTGGAGGCCTTTGATTGTTTCTTTATCTTTGTATCCTCAGAGCCTAGAACTGAGTAGGAACCCGGTAAGTATTTGCTGATGAGTGAGTCATTTTTATGATTCTTATTAGCTCTTCTCTTCCCTCACTCCTTAATATCCTTTAGTTCTCCTTTCAGATTGATGCTCAGACCTTGCTTATCCATATCCAGCAATACTTTATATTGTATTTACCGTTTCACAATTTACTTTTGGTAAGAGTCCTTTAAATATTACAGAAGTATTAGAAGTAGGGAATCTGGTTTTTCCTATCAGCCATATTGCTTGTACAGAGTAAGTACTCTGCTGCCATATTAACCTTTTTAGACTCTCAGGGAGTGTGATAGTGCCCCTAAAGGTCTAGAGTAGAAAATGAAATCAGGCATTGATAGAGTGTAAACTAAATCTCCAAGAGCTTTAAGTGAATCAGCTTTTGTATAGATGAACTTGCTGCTGCTGTTGCATGGCAGATTTAACGTGTTCAAAAATTGAGCTTCACTTATTCTTGCCAGGTGCAGTGGTTCACGCCTGTAACCCTAGCACTTTGGGAGGCTGAGGTGGGCGAATGGCTTGAGCTTAGGAGTTCAAGACCAGCCTGGGCAACATAGCAAAACCCTGTCTCTACAAAAAAATATAAAAGGAGACTGGGCGCGGTGGCTCATGCCTGTAATCACAACACTTTGGGAGGCTGAGGCGGGCGGAGCAAGAGGTCAGGAGTTCGAGACCAGCCTGGCCAACACAGTGAAACCTCGTCTCTGCTAAAAAAAAAAAATTAGCTGGGCTTGGTGGCAGGTGCCTGTAATCCCAGCTACTTGGGAGGCTGAGGCAAAAGAATCGTTGTGAACCAGAGAGGCGGAGGTTGCAGTGAGCCGAGATTGCGCCACTATACTCCAGTCTGGGAGACAGAGCTAGACTCTGTCTCAAAAAAAAAAAGTATATATGTATATATATATATATATATATATATATATATATATATATATATATGTATATGTATGTATAAAAGACTGGACATGGTGGCTCACACCTTTAGTCCCAGCACTTTGGGAGGCCAAGGTGGGCAGATAACTTGAGGTCAGGAGTTCAAGACTAGCCTGGCCAACATGGTGAAACCCCGTCTTTACTAAAAATACAAAAATTAGCCTGGCATGATGGCAGCCACCTGTAATCCCAGCTACTTGGGAGGCTGTGGCAGGAAAATCGCTTGAACCCGAGAGGCAGAAGTTGCAGTGAGCCGAAATTGCACTATTGCACTCCAGCCTGGGTGACAGAGCAAAACTCCGTCTCAAAAAAAAAAAAAAAAAGCCACGTGTGGGGGCATGCGCCTGTGGTCCCAGTTACTTGGGAGGCTGAGGTGGGAGGATTGCCTGAGCCTGGGAGGTTGAGGCTGCAGTGAGCTGTGATTACGCTGCTACACTCCAGCCTGGGTGACAGAGCAAGACCCTGTCTCAAAGAAAAAAAAAAAGAGCTTAACTTTTTCTAAATCTTGAGTTAAATCATTTTTTTTCTAAAGATACTAGTCAGTTTCTAGATAGCGCTGCTCTAAAAATTTTGATATATTTGTGAGTAGTAAATCTAGGAAAATTCAGAAGACATTGGGAAATATTTCTAGTCGGGAGGGTAGGGCTGTGCTTTGTCAAATACTAGACCTAACTGGCATGACTCTTACTGCTTATTTTATTTTTTGCCTTAAAAAGGGAAAGCGCTCTAGCGAGTGCTGATTTAGAAGAAGAAATTCACCAGAAACAAGGGCAGAAAAGGAAAAATTCTCAACCTGGTGTTAAAGTAGCAGATAGAAAAATACTTGATGACACAGAAGACACAGTTGTCAGTCAAAGAAAGAAAATTCAAATCAACCAAGAAGAAGAGAGATTAAAGAATGAGAGAACTGTGTTTGTTGGGAATTTGCCTGTTACATGTAATAAGAAGGTGAGTTTGTATATGGTAAAAGTTCAGAGAAGTTAATAACTTTGTTCTTCCTGTGTTGAATAAGCATTCAATAGTAAGTCATGGATATAACTTCATTGTAAATTATTACATAAATCATCCTAATATGAATGGATTCCAGTATCCACCCCCTCCTTTTCATTCCTGTAGTCCCTGCCAATTCAGGCTTTTGCAGATTATATTTGAATATTGCAGTGACCTCCTGCCTGGTTTCTTTCTTTCAGCCTTGTCTCCTGTTATATGCCACTAGAAAGTAAGCTCCATATGTTTAAAGATGTCTTTCCTTTTTCTTTTCTTTTTCAGGACAGGTTCTCACTGTCACCTAGGCTGGAGTGTAGTGGCATGATCATTGCTCACTGCAGCCTCAAACTCCTGGACTCAAGTGATCTTACTGCCTCAGCCTCCTGAGTAGCTGGGACTACAGGCGCACGCCACCGTGCCTGGCTAATTTTTGTGTTTTTTTTTTTGTGACTATGTTGCCCAGGCTGGTCTCAAACTCCTGGGCTTAAGTGATCTGCCCTCCTTAGCCTCCCAAGGTGCTGGGACTTCAAGCATGAGCCACTGGGCCTGATCCTCTTTTTTCATCATTCTGTCTCTC
Source organism: Homo sapiens (assembly GCF_000001405.40). Classification (NCBI taxonomy): domain Eukaryota; kingdom Metazoa; phylum Chordata; class Mammalia; order Primates; family Hominidae; genus Homo; species Homo sapiens. Next base: position 235,154,264 of record NC_000001.11, on the reverse strand, counting down.
TCTCTCTTTTTTTTTTTTTGAGACAGAGTCTCGCTCTGTTGCCCAGGCTGGAGTGCAGTGGCGCGATCTCTGTTCACTGCAAGCTCCGCCTCCTGGGTTCACACCCTTCTCCTGCCTCAGCCTCCTGAGTAGCTGGGACTACAAGCGCCCGCCACCACGCCCAGCTAATTTTTTGTATTTTTAGTAGAGACGGGGTTTCACTGTGCTAGCCAGGATGGTCTCGATTTCCTGACCTTGTGATCCGTCCGCCTCGGCCTCCCAAAGTGCTGGGATTACAGGCATGAGCAACCGCACCCAGCCTCGTTCTGTCTCTTGACACCTGAAATGGTGCCTTGTGCATAGTAAATATGTGTTGTTTAAAGAATGAAGATGTCCTGAGTTTCTTCCGTTGTGTGACGATCACTGAAGCAAAACCTGCCCTTTGCTTCTGCATGTTCATGTGATAGTAACTGTTGCAATCCTTAGCTCGGTATCCTGCTCATATTTTGAAGGACAGTTTAAACTCTACTTGATTAAAAACAGTAGAAAAACCTTTTTGAGGCCAGGCGTGGTGGCCCACACCTGTAATCCCAGCACTCTGGAAGGCCAAGGCGGGCGGATCCCCTGAGGTCGGGAGTTCGAGACCAGCTTGGCCAACATGGTGAAACCGCTTCTCTACTAAAAGTCCCAAAAATTAGCTGGGTGTGGTGACACATGCCTGTAATCCCAGCTACTTTGAAGGCTAAGGCAGGAGAATTGCTTGAACCCAGGAGGGGGAGGTTGCAGAAGCCAAGATCGTGCCACCGCACTCCAGCCTGGGTGACAGTGAGTGAGACTCTGTCTCAAAAAAAAAAAAAAAAGTTTATTCCTGGTTTAAACCAATGTGAAAACATGAGAGAATCTATGGAAGTTATAAGTCTATCCTTAATTTACATGTGATAAAGGTTATAAAAGATTGAAAGAAAAGCATACATCCGATGGATACTAATAGGAGCTTGAATTGTGTTTTCTTTTTTTTTTTTTGAGACAGAGTCTCACAAGTTTCAGTAAAATTTTTTTGTTCATCCAACTGAATAGTCACCTACTTTCCTGAAATGTTCTTAAAAACTGGCAGTAGGCCGGGTGCGGTGGCTCATGCCTGTAATCCCAGCACTTGAAGAGGCTGATGTGGTTGCATCACCTGAGGTCAGGAGTTTGAGACCAGACTGGCCAACATGGCGAAACCCCGTCTCTACTAAAAATACGAAAATTAGCTGAGCATGGTGGCGGGCGCCTGTAATCCCAGCTACTTGGGAGGCTGAGGTATGAGAATCACTTGAAGCCGTGGGGGCGGAGGTTGCAGTGAGCTGAGATCACACCACTGCACTCCAGCCTGGGCGAAAGTGCAAGACTCTGTCTCAAAAAAAAAAAAAAAAGCCTGGCAGTAGAGGATTATCAGACAATTTTTCTTAATTCCTTTTTGTAGCACTTATTTGATGTTCTGAAGGTCAGCTAATGTGTATTTTTTTTTTTAATTTTAGAAGCTGAAGTCGTTTTTTAAAGAGTATGGACAAATAGAATCTGTACGATTTCGTTCTCTGGTATGTTTCATTCCCCCGTAAAATTACATAATATTAAAATTTATTGCATTTAAATCAGATGAACTTATTGCTGTTAGTGAGATGGTGAAGCACTTTAACCTTTTGAATCAATAGGTTCAAATTTAACCCAAGAAAAGAGTTGCTCTTACTATCTACTGCTGACTCTTGAACTTTTTAAATAATGTATTGAGTTTACTTAATAAAATGATACTCTTGCTATGAAAGCCTGCAATGTACTTTGGAGGGTGGATGGGTGACTTATTTACTGTGTCAGCAGAATAGACTGAAAAGTTAATACTGATTATCATTGCTGGAATCCTAGGCATTCTCTTCCTATGTCCCATCATACACATTAGTATGGGAGGTGGGTATGATTGCTGCAAACAGTCTTTGTTCTCTGAGCACAGACAGATAAAGAATTTATGTCAATTTAATATTAAAACTTTATAGAAGTGAGTTGGATTTTACCAGCTCAGCACTCTGAACCAGTTATAGCCACATTCTTTGGAGCAGGAAATAAGTATCATTTATATTTGGTTTTCCCATACATGATTTTTTTTTTTAACTGCATAGGCATAGTTAGTTGACGTACCATAGTGTACATTTTTGGGCACTATTACATAATTAATGTATATTAGAATATAGGAAATGTTTATTCTATTTTTTTTTTTGAGACAGAGTCTCGCTGTGTCTCACCCAGGCTGGAGTGCAGTGGTGCGATCTCAGCTCACTGCACCCTTCGCCTCCTGGGTTCAAGCAATTCTCATGCCTCAGCCTCCCAAGTAGCTGGGATTACAGGTGTGCGCTACCATGCCCGGCTAATTTTTGTATTTTTAGTCCGGACAGGGTTTCACCATGTTATCCAGACTGGTCTCAAACTCGTGACCTCAGGTGATTCGCCTGCCTCAGCCTCCCAAAGTGCTGGGATTACAGGTGTGAGTCACTGCACTTAGCCTTTTTCATGTTTCTAATTGCTCTTTCTCATGTGATTCTCTGGAATAGAGTTTCTCAACCTCCATACAGTTGACATTTTGGGCTGGATAATTCTTTGTTGTTGGAGGCTGCCCTTTGTATTATAGGATGTTTAGTAACATCCATGGTCTTTACCCACTAGATGCTGGTAGCACCTCCTGCACCTCAGTTTTCACAATGGAAAATATCTTCAGGAATTGCCAAATGTTAGAGGAGGCACAACTGCCCACTTCTATAGAAGTAGACGTTACCCAAAGCTTTGACAGTGCCCATAATTTCTGTCAGGGTATTTATTTCCCACTCTTATCACATATCTTTTGTCTGCCCTTCTGAGTTCCATTTCCCTGTATTAGACCTTTGGCTGATGCATTAGTGTGGGTGTCTTGCCAGACCCTGATTTCAATATATCTGCTTACTTCCATCCATTCTCACCCCAACCCTATGCTGCCTACTGATTTTTCTGTGGTATTTAGTGGCACCCAGGCTGCAGGTTTTGTGGTTGCCTTTGACTCTTCATTGGCTCACCCATGCTAGTGTTTGCCACTCCTGTCCGTTTTTCAACTGTGATTTCTTCCTAATATGAGTCATTCCTTTCTTTTTTCCTTGTCCTACCTAAGTTCTCATTACCTCCTGTCAGAATAGTCGCAGAGGCCTATTGTAGTTCCTTACCTTCAGTCTTCCTCTAATTTGTCCAACAAAACACTGTGAACTCAGTCTTCCTGAAGCTCTTCTTCCCGGAACCCTTACCTCTTTCCCTGCCTTGCATTAATGAAACGCCCTTCCCCCCATCCCCCCAGCCGCCACACACACACCCCTCACGGGGCCTGCTATTGCCTTCTCCCCTTTGGGGAGCCTACCTTGATTCTCCCCAGTCTCTAGGCTACCAGTGTGTCCCTGCTATGCATTTGACAGCACCCATCCCTCATTACAGTACTTAGTACACTCTACTGAAATTGTCGTTTGCCTCCTCCACCAGACTGTAAGCTGTGGTTACAAATACTCTGTCTTACTTCTTCTTGGGTTACCAGCACCTGTACATTGTGTTAATTATTCTGTCAGTGAAATACATCCTTAATTCTTAGCTTGGCAGTTCTCCAGTGTGGCCCTGCCTCTCCTGTGTTCCTCTACACGTGGGTTTTCTCACCTTTGTCCCTTTGCCAGTCCATTTGTTTTGCCTGGAATCCTTCCTTAAAGTACCATTTTTGCCTATGAAAGTATTTTTCAGTATGTGGCTAAAAATGTCCCTTCTTCAAAGCTTTTCCGATACTTTATATCATTAAGTGATATTTTTTCCTCTGCATTATTCCTGTACTTTATTGCCTTATGTTGTACTTATGTATTAATATCTTTAATGACAGGATGTAGGCCGGGTGCAGTGGTTGATGCCTGTAACCCAGCACTTTGGGAGGCCAAGGCAGATCACTTGAGTTCAGAAGTTCGAGACCAGCCTGGCCAACATGGCAAAACTACGTTTCTACTAAAAATACGAAAACTAGCTGGGCATGGTGGCGGGGGCCTGTAATCCCAGCTACTCGGGAGGCTGAGATGGGAGAATCGCTTGAACCTGAGAGGCGGAAGTTGCAGTGAGCCGAGATTGTGCCACTGCACTCCAGCCTGGGCGACAAAGCGAGATTCTGTCTCAAAAACAAACAAAATAAAACAAAACCAAACAAATAACGGGACGTAGACGCTGTACAGAAGGCACCCAATAAATGTGTTTTGATGATGTCATTCACATGTTGATTATTCATTTAGCCATTTCTGTGTCTTGTACTGTTTTTTTGAGGTTTGAGAGTTTGACTATGTTAGCAATTTTAGCAAGATAAACTGCAAACAGAAGAAATAGTTAAAATTTCATAGTTTTACTATGTAAACTATCAGGTTACTGAGAAAGAAAATAGGTTTTCCAGAAAAGATTTATAATAACTACCCTACATGGCATTTATGTTCTAGATTGTGAACTTGCAGGGTTGGTATCTTTTCACCTTGATCTTCTCAGTACCTGGTTGCATTTGGCATGTTGTCGACAGCTGTAGTTGTTGACGTGTATTTCTGCCTCTTCCATAAAGTTTTCCCTACCTGCCCCATCCACTCTTAAAGGAGGCTATATATGACTGGAAATAAAGTGAACCTGAATATAAAGGGGATTCCCTTACCTGCATGATGGACACCATGCATTTTTTTGGCTAATATATAAACTCTTAGAGATACAGGTGATATGTCTTTTTATATTATTCATCAGTTCAGTTAGACATATTTAAAAATTTATTAGAATACACGATAAAATGTTAATTTATAAACATTTCTTTTTCCTTAACATTTTTCCTTTTTTTTTTTTTTTTTTTGAGACGGAGTCTCGTTCTGTCGCCCAGGCTGGAGTGCAGTGGTGCCATCTGGGCTCACTGCAAGCTCCGCCTCCCGGGTTCACGCCATTCTCCTGCCTCAGCCTCCTGAGTAGCTGGGACTACAGGCGCCCGCCACCACGTCTGGCTAATTTTTTTGTATTTCTAGTAGAGATGGGGTTTCACCGTGTTAGCCAGGATGGTCTCAACCTCCTGACCTCGTGATCCGCCCGCCTTGGCCTCCCAAAGTGCTGGGATTACAGGTGTGAGCCACCGCGCCCGGCCTTTTCCTTACATTTTTCATGTGTCTTTCATCGTCGGTGTCTCTTCCTGGAGTCCTCCCTGTAGGAGTCATCTGATGCAATTTGAGAGCCCGGTATCTTAACTTCTGTCTGGGTTTTTGAGTCCCTGCCTGTTAAATCTGAGCATGATGGTTTCATTGGAAAAACTTATCCTAAGCCACGAGCTTCGTTTCATATAGCATTAAGATGATTGGCCAGCCGTGGTGGCTCATGTTTGTAATCCCAGCACTTTGGGAGGCCAAGGTGGGCGGATCACGAGGTCAGGAGATCGAGACCATCCTGGCTAACCTGATGAAACCGCATCTCTACTAAAAATACAAAAAATTAGCCGGGCGTGGTGGCGGGCGCCTGTAGTCCCAGCTACTCAGGAGGCTGAGGCAGGAGAATGTTGTGAACCCAGCAGGTGGAGCTTGCAATGAGCCGACATCATGCCACTGCACTCCAGCCTGGGTGACAGTGTGAGACTCCATCTCAACAGGAAAAAAAAAAAAAAATTAGGACAGTTGTTTCTGATTTGTTTATTTCCCTAGAATGTTTTTGATCACAGTGTACTGGAGTTAGATACTTAGACTTCACTTAAAATATTAATTTGAGGTAATACTTCAAATACTGTCTTTAATACTTTTTTTTTTCTCTTGAAAGATTCCAGCAGAGGGAACGCTATCCAAAAAGTTGGCAGCAATAAAGTAAGTTTATAATTAGAGAAAGGGAGTCACCTTAAACTTTCTTCCTTTTTGGCTAAAAAGTGAGACCATTTCTTAACAATTGCATAGATTTTATTAATATATTTGGATAATAGAGCATGATTGACTGTTTGCTTCTGTATTTGAGAGCCTTTAGATTTGTCACGTTTTTCTTTAAGCCATAATATAATTTACAGAGTCGTAGAAAATATTACTGGAAAATGAGCCATGAGAAATTTTAAGAATGTTTTTAGTGTTTGGAAGAGAGTGTAAAGCTTCATGCCTAAATTTTCTCATACAGATTACAAATGCCATATTTCCTGTGTTTTTCCAGAGAGAATTCATGTTTGCTTGTGCTGGTCACCTGGGTATACTGCCAGCCTGTGACCACTTGGCGTTCTCTGTTTGAGGGTTTTGGACCACACTGGTGGTGGCTTGTTACCAGTGCTCAGGGGATTTTTTTTGTTTCCCACTCAGTGTCAAGAATGAAACCTACAAGTCTCCTTGTTCGCCCTTCCATATGGAAGGCTTATTTTTCATTTACCTTCAGCTTTATGCCGGTTTCCTATTAGTCTCATATCTTGGGTGTTTTTCTCTCTTAATGGTATATGAAATGATGAAGTTTATAAGCAGATATTTCTTTATATTAGATAAAATATAATAATGTACTTTAGAAACATTTCTGGGAATCCTGTTCTATCAAGCTTTTGTATGGCAACAGTCCCTTTGGACATCTTGGTGACTTCATTTCAATATTGAGTCTTCATTTGGAGTTATTTGGCCGACCAGGTCTTCGCCGGTTTTTCCTCATAACCATCACAGTGCCAGGTGTATAGTTAAGAGTTGATAAATATATAGATTCCCACAGTGTTTGCTGAGGTAACCAAAGATGCAGATCCTCCTAGATACCAGGCATTGTTCAGTGCTGTGGTGACTAGAAACCTTAGTAAGATACAACCCTTCTTTTTGAGTCATACTTTTATTTCTGTATGAAGTTGAAACCCAGGAGCCTAAATTTGAACAGAAACAGAGGTTCTGACAGGTGTATGTACAAGTACTACTGAGGAGTTTAGTGGGATATGTTAGAAAATTGGAATTTTCACACCATACCGTCAGCTTCTCCTCCAGCCCCATCTCATTGTTTTTTTGTTTCTTTGTTTTGTTTTGTGTTTTTAACATACAAGCTCTTGCTCTGTCACCCAGGCTGGAGTGCAGTGGCAAGATCTTGGCTCACTGTAGCCTTAAACTTTTGGGCTCAAGTGATGCTTCCATCTCAGTGTCCCCAGTAGCTGGGACTACAGGTGTGCACACCACCCTGGCTAATTTATTTTATTTTATTGTAGACACAGAGTCTCATTATGTTTTTCAGGCTGGTCTTGAACCCCGGGCTTCAAGCAATCCTTCTGCCTCAGCCTTCTAAAGCAGTGGGATTATGAGCATGAGCCACTGCCTTTTTGTTGTTGTTTTTAATTTAAAATTTAATGATGGCTGGCTGTGGTGGCTCACACCTGTAATCCCAGCACTTTGGGAGGCCGAGGTAGGTGGATCACTTCAGGCCAGGAGTTTGAGACCAGCCTGGCCAACATGGCAAAACACTGTCCCTACTAAAAATAGAAAAATTAGCAGGGTGTGGTGGCACATGCCTGTAGTCCCAGCTACTTGGGAGGCTGAGGCAAGAGAATCGCTTGATCCCAGGAGATGAAGGTTGCAGTGAGCCCAGATCACGCCATTGCACTCCAGCCTTGGTGACAGAGCTAGACTCTGTCTCAAAATAAATAAATAAATAAAATTTAATTATACACCTTTTCTCTAGTCAGCCAATTCCCTACCCTAGGCAAGTGTTTTTAGTTTCTTATGTAAGCTTCTAGAGACATCTTAGCATTTAAAAACTGATACGCATAGATGTTCTTCTTCCCACATAAAACAGTTTAACTCACTGGTATTTAATATATGCACTACTCCACACCTTCCCTTTTTCTGCTTAGTACAACTTGGAGATCTGTTTATATTGGTGTGAAAGTGATTATTTTTATAGCATTTTTTAAAAATGCCCTTTTTCTTAGAGTATTCTCTAGGTGTGCCTTAATTTATTTTATCAAATCTCCCACTGATGGACATAAAGTTTTTTCCCAGTCTCATGACCATTACAAATAATGCTGAAGGCCGGGTGCAGTGGCTCACGCCTGTAATCTCAGCACCATTAGAGGCCAAGGTGGGCAGATCGCTTGAGCCCAGGACCTCCCTGGGCAAAATGGCAAAACCCCATCTCTACAAAAAATTAGCTGGGCATGATGCTGTGCACTGTAGTCCCAGCTGCTTGGGAATCAGACGAAGGAGCACCTGAGCTCAGGAAGTGGAGCTATGATTGCACCCCTGGCACTCCAGCCCGGGTGATAGAGTGAGACCCTGTCTTCCAAAAAAAAAAAAAAAAAAAAAAAAACCTGCTGTAATATTTTAGCTGGTCATGGAGGCACGTGTCTGTAGTCCCAGCTACTTGGGAAGCTGACGTGAGATGATCACTTGAGCCCAGGAGCTTGAGGCTTCAGTGAACTGTGATCACACCACTGCACTGTAGCCTGAGCGACAAGCAAGACCCGCTCTCTCAAAACAAAACAAATAATGTTGGAGTAAATGAGTGACCTTGTACTTAGGTAATTTTGTACATAAGCTAAACTTATCTGTAGGATAAACTTCTAGCAGTGGCATTGCTCAGTCAGAAGGGTATTTGCATTCACAATTTTGACTGCTGTCTCGTAGAGATTGCAACCTATTTATGTTCCCACATCTTTACCAACAGTAAAGTCTTTTACTTTACAAAAACAGTATGTTGGCCAGGGAAGATGGCTCATGCCTGCAATCCCAGCACTTTGGGATGCTGAGGTGGGTGGATTGCATGAGCCTAGGAGTTCGAGACCAGCCTGGGCAGCGTGGCGAGACCTCATCTCTACAAAGAAACAAAAAAATTAGCTGGGCAAGGTGGTGCACGCCTGTAGTCCAGCTACTCTGGGGGCTGAGGTGGGAGGATCACTTGAGCCCGGAGAATGGAGGCTGCAGTGAACCATGATTGCACCACTACGCTCCAGCCTGGATGACAGTGAGACCCTATCTCAAAAAAAAAAAAAAAAGTATGTTTTTGAGCTTTGTGGTTGTTGGAAACCTGAGTGTGGTATTTCTAATTTGAATTTCTCTTATGAGTGAGCATCTTGTCATGTAATTTAAGAGTCATTTGTGCTTTCTTTTATTTGAATTATTAGTCTTATTGATCTGTGGGATGTTCATGAAATCAGTCTTTTGTGACATGAATTATGAATATTTTTCTCTATTTGTCATTTGCTATTTGTTTATTTATTTAATTTATTTTTTGAGACGGAGTTTTGCTCTTGTTGCCCAGGCTGGAGTGCAATGGCGTGATCTCAGCTCACCGTAATCTCCGCCTCCCTGGTTCAAGTGATTCTCCTGCCTCAGCCTACTGAGTAGCTGGGATTACAGGCATGTGCGCTACACCTGGCTAATTTTGTATTTTTAGTAGAGACGGGGTTTCCCCATGTTGGTCAGGCTGGTCTCAAACTCATGACCTCAGGTGATCTGCCCCACCCTCGGCCTCCCAAAGTGCTGGGATTACAGGCATGAGCCACCGCGCTGGGCCTTATTTTATTTTTAAGAGATAGAGTGTTGCTTTGTTCTCCAGCAGAAGTGCAGTGACTCAGTCATAGTCCACTATAGCCTGGAATTCCTAGGCTCAAGTAATCATTCTGCCTCAGCCTCCCAAGTAGCTGGAACTACAGGTGCACACCACCACACCCTAGCTTGTTGGCTTTTTGACTTGGCTTATGGGAAATTTTGCCATGTAAAACTTTTTTCCTTTTTCTTATAGCCAAAATGTTTAAAACCTTTTTTTTTTTTTTTTAGTTTATTAAGGCTACTTCCAGTAAACTGCACATATTTGACATGTACAATTTTATAATTTTAACATATGTAGGCAATCTTGAAACCACTGCCATAGTCCAGATACCAAACACTTTATCATCTCGAGTTTCTTCTAACCCTCTGCAATATGTCCCTCCACCTCTGTCCTCAGGCAGCCATTCATTTGCTTTCTGTCTCTATGTGTTAGTTTGCTTTTTCCAGAATTTTATATAAGTAGAGTCATCATACAGGATATACTCTTGTCTAATTTGCTCAGCATAATGATTTTGAGGTTTGTTTTTTTGTGGGGGAGGGTTGGTGGAGGGGAACAGTGTCTTCTGCTGTTGCCCAGGCTGGAGTTCAGTGGCACGATAATGGCTCACGGCAGCCTTATCACCTGGGCTCAAGCAGTCCTTCTGCCTCAGCCTCCTAAATACCTGGGACTACAGGTGCTCGCCACCACACCCGGCTGATTTTTAAGTTTTTAGTAGAGCCAAGGTGTCACTAATGCCCAGACTGGTCCTGAACTCCTGAGCTCAAGTAGCCCTCCTGCCTTTGCCTCCCAAAGTGTTGCAATTACAGGCTTGAGCCACCGTGCCTGTCTGAGATTTGTTCTTATTATTGCAATGCATTGGTAATTAATTCGTTTTTATTGCTCAGTAGTATTCCCTTGTATGACAGTATTTGTTTATCCATTCACCTGTTTATTGTGTTGTGTTGTATTTATTGTGATGTATTGTACTGTATTGTACTGTATTGTATTGTGATGGAGTCTTGCTCTGTCGCTCAGGCTGGAGTGCAGTGGTACCATCTCGGCTAATTGCAACCTCTACCTCCCGGGTTCAAGTGATTTTCATGCCTCAGCCTCCCAAGCAGCTGGGATTACAGACACATACCACCATGCCCAGCTAATTTTTTCATACTTTTAGTAGAGATGGGGCTTTGCCATGTTGGCCAGGCTGGTCTAAAACTCCTGACCTCAGGTGATCCGCCCGCCTCAGACTGCCAAAGTGCTGGGATTATAGGCGTGAGCCATCGCACCCGGCCCCATTCACCAGTTTATGAACATTCAGGTTATTTCAGCCTTTGGCTATTATACATAAAACTGCTAAAAAAAATTTGGGTACGGATCATTTCTTTTGAGAAACTGCCTGGTCGGATTGCCAGATCTTACGGTATATTGTAACTTTCTAAGAAGCTGCAAAATTGTTTTCCAAAGTGTTTGTACCATTTTACATTCCTACCAGCTATCGATGAGAATGTCAGTTGCTTCACATCCTCACCAGCACTTGGCATTGTCATTTAATTTTAGACATTCTGAAGGTTTGTCAACCACAGTGACTAAAAATGTTAGGCATCTTATGTGCTTACTATTTGTATCTATTCTTTGGTGAAATGTTGGTACAAAAATTTTGCCCATTTTTTAGTGACTTTTAAATTATTTTTATATGGTTGTAAGGAGTTATTTATATATTCTAGATATAACACCTTTTCCTGCTATGTGTGTTTCAGATATTTTGCTCCAGTTTGTGGCTGGCTTTTTTAGAGGTGTCTTTTTTTTTTTTTTTTTTTTTGAGATGGATCCTTGCTCTGTCACCAGGCTGGAGTGCAGTGGTGCGATCCCAGCTCACTGCAACCTCCGCCTCCCGGGTTCAACTGATTCTCCTGCCTCAGCCTCTCAGGTAGCTGGGATTACAAGCGTGCGCCACCACACTCGGGTCATTTTTGTATTTTTAGTAGAGACGGGGTTTCACCATGTTGGCCAGGCTGGTTTCGAACTCCTGACCTCAGATGATCCACCCACCTCTGCCTCCCAAAGTGCTAGGGTTACAAGCATGAGCCACCACACACGCCCAGAGGTGTCTCTTAAAGATTGAAAGTTTTAAGTTTTATTGAAGATCTCATTTAGAGAGTGCTGTTGTTGGCCAGGCACAGTGGCTCACGCCTATAATCCATTACTTTGGGAGGTCAAGGTGGGCGGATCACCTGAGGTCAGGATTTTAAGACCAGCCTGGCCAACGTGGTGAAACCCCGTCTCTACTAAAAATACAAAAATTAGCCAGGAGTGGTGGCGTGCGCCTGTAATCCCAGCTATTCTGGAGGCTGAAGCAGGAGAATCACTTGAACATGGGAGTTAGAGGTTGCAGTGAGCCGAGATCATGCCATTGCACTCCAGCCTGGACTGCAAGAGAGAAACTCCGTCTCAAAATAAAAAAAGTGCTATTGCTTGTCAGTTGGCTTGGTAGTCTGGTGGGAGTGGGCGCAGCAGGGTCTCTGCTGTCTTGTCTTAGTGTTTCCGTGTCTCAGGAGTGCACCTGATCAGGGCTTTTTTCCCGGGGCAGCCAAGCTGTGCCAAATGCCTTGTACCTTTAGTGGGGATTATGCAGAGGATGTTTCCCACCTCTCCCCCGGTAGCTGGACTCCTCCCTTCCTCCGGCTGTAGGGGTCTTCTCTGTGCCCTGGAGTGACAGGGTTTGCTATCCCTCCCCTAGCAGCTTAGCCTTCTCCTCCATCAAGAGAATGTGTCCGGAATTGGTGGGTTCTTGGTCTCACTGACTTCAAGAATGAAGCCGCGGACCCTCGCGGTGAGTGTTACAGCTCTTAAGGTGGTGCGTCGGGAGTCTGTTCCTTCTGATGTTCGGATTTGTTCGGAGTTTCTTCCTTCTGGTGGGTTCGTGGTCTCACTGGCTCAGGAGTAAAGCTGCAGACCTTCGCAGTGAGTGTTACAGCTCTTAAGGCAGCGCGTCTGGAGTTGTTCGTTCCTCCCGGTGGCCTCGTGGTCTCGCTGGCTTCAGGAGTGAAGCTGCAGATCTTTGCGGTGAGTGTTACAGCTCATAAAAGCAGCGTGGACCCAAAGAGTGAGCAGTAGCAAGATTTATTGCAAAGAGTGAAAGGACAAAGCTTCCACAGTGTGGAAGGGGACCCGAGTGGCTTGCCACTGCTGGCTAGGGCAGCCTGCTTTTATTCTCTTATCTGGCCCCACCCACATCCTGCTGATTGGTAGAGCCGAGTGGTCTGTTTTGACAGGGTGCTGATTGGTGCATTTACAATCCCTGAGCTAGATACAAAGGTTCTCCATGTCCCCATCAGATTAGTTAGATACAGAGTATCGACACAAAGGTTCTCCAAGGCCCCACCAGAGCAGCTAGATACAGAGTATCGATTGGTGCACTCACAAACCCTGAGCTAAACACAGGGTGCTGATTGGTGTGTTTATAAACCTTGAGCTAGATACAGAGTGCCGATTGGTGTATTTACAACCCCTGAGCTAGACATAAAGGTTGTCCAAGGCCCCACCAGAGCAGCTAGATACAGAGTGTCGATTGGTGCACTCACAAACCTTGAGCTAAACACAGGGTGCCGATTGGTGTGTTTACAAACCTTGAGCTAGATACAGAGTGCCGATTGGTGTATTTACAATCCCTGAGCTAGACATAAAGGTTGTCCAAGGCCCCACCAGAGCAGCTAGATACTGAGTGTCGATTGGTGCACTCACAAACCTTGAGCTAAACACAGGGTGCCGATTGGTGTGTTTACAAACCTTGAGCTAGATACAGAGTGCTGATTGGTGTATTTACAATCCCTGAGCTAGACATAAAAGTTCTCCAAGGTCCCACCAGAGTAGCTAGATATAGAGTGTCGATTGGTGCATTCACAGACCCTGAGCTAGACACAGGGTGCTGATTGGTGTATTTACAATCCCTGAGCTAGACATAAAGGTTGTCCACATCCCCACCAGACTCGGGAGCCCAGCTGGCTTCACCCAGTGGATCCTGCACCGGGGCTGCAGGTGGAGCTGCCTGCCAATCCCATGCCGTGCGCCTGCACTCCCCAGCCCTTTGGTGGTCGATGGGACTGGGCGTCGTGGAGCAGGGGGTGGCGCTCCTCGGGGAGGCTCGGGCCGCACAGGAGCCCATGGAGGGGGTGGGAGGCTCAGGCATAGCGGGCTGCAGGTCCCGAACCCTGCCCTGCGGGAAGGCAGCTAAGGCCCGGTGAGAAATCGAGCGTAGCGCCAGTGGGTTGGCACTGCTGGGGGACCCAGTACATCCTCCGCAGCCACTGGCCCGGGTGCTAAGCCCCTCACTGCCCGGGGCCGGCAGGGCCTGCAGGGCCGGCCGGCTGCTCCGAGTGCGGGGCCCGCCAAGCCCACGCCCACCTGGAACTCCAGCTGGCCCGCAAGCGCCGCGCAGCCCTGGTTCCCACTCGCGCCTCTCCCTCCACACCTCCCTGCAAGCTGAGGGAGCCGGCTCCGGCCTTGGCCAGCCCAGAAACGGGCTCCCACAGCGCAGCGGTGGGCTGAAGGGCTCCTCAAGTGCCGTCAAAGTGGGAGCCCAGGCAGAGGAGGTGCGGAGAGCAAGCGAGGGCTCTGAGGACTGCCAGCACGCTGTCACCTCTCAAGAAGAATCCAGGTGGGGCTTTGTGCCTTTCCCACACTTTGGCCATTCCGTCCTCCAGGCCTGCAGCACCCATAGCTGCGATCTCAGCCTTTCCCAGGGAGTGGAGGTCAGTGGGGCAGATCCTGAGGATGGGCGCACACTCCTGCCTCGGCAGCTTCCAGGACTTCTGTTTCAGGCCCAGCCCACGCTGAGCTCTAGTGTTTTAGTGAGATCATGGCTGGAATCTTTCCTGCTTGTCTGGTGCCCAGCATTTTGCCCCTGTGCTCGGCCATCGTAGAGCCAGAAGAGCCAGTGCTTCCTCTGTCTCTCATTGGAGGAAGCAGGCCTGTCCTTAGCTTCTAGCTGCTGGCTTTCCCCAAGACTTCAGCTCTGTGATGGCTGCAACAAAAGTTATGATGCTGTGGGTTATCTGGTTTCTTCTTAACTGGTAAGAGCAGGAGTGATGCACTTTCTGGCTTTTTACATTCTAGGTGGAAGCGGAACTCCAGCATTTGTTCCTGGGGGTGCACTAGGATGTGTTGGATTTGGATGTTGTCGGCAGCTGTGTGTTGTGTGAAGAGCAGGGCTCTAGAGTCAGCTAGACTTGGTTTCAGTCCTAGGCCAGCCACTTGTTGCCATTTCATCGCAGTCACGTACCTCTTCCAGTCTCAGCTTCCTTATTCATAAAATCAGAAAAAAAACACCGTGTTGGAGATGTGAGATTAAATGAAATACATAAAATGTCTAGCTGAGTGTCTGGTATATATTAGGCATTCAGTAAATCACAGCTGGTTTAATCAATACAAAAGCATTAGTATAGTGTATTATTACAGAATGCCATCAGTCATGTCAGGCACTATTTTCCAGTTCCCTTCTTGATGATACTCATTTGTGTAGTAGCATTTTTCTTACTTCAAAACAGTAGGTTGATGTCTTCAGGGAAAGATCTGTGTTCATTACTAGGTCCTTTTTGCTAACTCCTCACATCCAAATTATATCACCATTTTGCAAACCTAGTGACTTAATGAGTTTAGGCATTTAGTAGCAGCAGCTGCAGTCATTGACAAAAGGGTAAAAACCAGTCATAACATGACTCCCTGGAAAGAACACAACACCCACCAGCAGTCGCGACAAAGGGGTCATGTCTGAGTCTGATCCATCCTTTTGATGCAGCTGCCAGTTTACAAGAAATATAGAGGACAAAGGTTTGTGTTAAACTACTTGATGAGCTTGCAGTCACAAAATCCAGGCTGTGGGGAATTCTGCAGGCCAAATAGTGAGAGATAAAGAGATACAGAGAAAACTCTGTAAATTAAACAAGATTCAAAAGACATATCAGGTCAAAAGTATAGACAAGACCAAAGTATGATGTCTAAGAATAGACACTTGGTTGATAAAACCACAAAGATGTGCAGGGAAGTAGTTCCTATAAAAATGGGAATGGTGGTTGCCTTTGGAGGGAAGGAGGGGCTGCAACGGGAAAGGGCCACAGAGAGGCTTCTGAGTGGGCTACAAGGCACGTTGAGCTGTTGTTAATTCACTCAGCTATACGTAGTTTGTGCACTCTTCTATATGGGTGTTTCACAGTAAAGAGGAAAACTCACGTCTTTCACAACTGTTTATATGTGTGTTAGATACGGACTGCAGCTAAGATGTCAGTTTTTAGTTCTTGTATGGTTCTCAGGGATTCATATACATGGTTCATCTGTTTTCTCATGGTTATGATTCCTAAGAAAGTATGGGTTGTGTCTCCACTAATATCTTTATAAGTTGTGTGTTATTTTTTGAGTTATTACTAAATATTTATTCAAAGAGATGAAATGTCCACCCAGGAATTCTTGTCATGTGTGTTAAGAGTTGAAAACAGCTAGATTTTTTTCTAGTGACTTTGAGGCTAAGAAATTTACCTTGTCTCTCTTTTCTTTCTTTCTTTTTTTTTTTTTGGTGTAGACGTAAAATTCATCCTGATCAGAAAAATATTAATGCCTATGTTGTGTTTAAGGAGGAGAGTGCTGCCACGCAAGCATTGAAAAGGTAATTTTATCCCTTAGGTTTGAACAGAATAATTGTCCTATAAGTATGTATGAGTACTTTTTTTATTCTTTGGTTTCACTTTAGCATAGATGTTTTAGTAATCGAGTGCTCATTTTTAACAACCATTTTCCCTTTGTATTTATAATACAGAAATGGGGCCCAGATTGCAGATGGATTTCGTATTAGAGTTGATCTCGCATCTGAGACCTCATCTGTAAGTAGTACTTGATTTGTTTAAAGAACGAGAGCTTTGTAGAGAGAAATGTTTCCTTCCAGGCTTTTCCTGGAAGGGGACTGGAATCAGCAATGTGAGGGAAGCGCAGAAGGAAACAGCCTATGTCCTCTGTGGTTACAGAGTTGATGGCAAGAGAGGCACAAGGACCGAGGTCAACATTCCCTTCAAAAACGTAGTCCTGGCTGGGCACAATGGCTCATGCCTGTAATCCTAACATTTTGGGAGGCCAAGGCGGGAGGATCACTTGAGCCCAGGAGTTAAGAGCAGCCTGAGCAATGTAGCAAGACCCTGCCTTTACAAAAAAAAAAAAAAAAATTAGTCAAGTGTGTGATGCATGCCGACAGTCCCAGCTACTCAGAAGGCTGAGGTGGGAGCACCACCTGAGCCCAGGAGTTTGAGGCTGCAGTGAGCTGTAGTCGTGCCACTGCATTCTAGCCTGGGCAACAGAGGGCGACCCTGTTTCTTAAAAAGAAACAAAAACATAGTCCTCTTCAAATAAGCATAATTAGGTCAGAAGGTACATTAGACATCATCTGGTCTAACACATTATAGACCGAGGTCTAGAAAGTTCAATTATTCATTAGACAGTTTTTAGTACACACTCTGTCAGAGATGCAGTTCTAAGACATAGTCTCAACTTCCTAGGAGCTGACAGTATATGTTAGGGTTGGAGTGACAGGTCATGTCACTGTTGTATAAGTACTATCATCAATGCACAGGATGATTTGTCAGCTCAGCATTGGGACACTTGACTTGGGGATATGCCAGGAAGAAGGGACAAGGCAAGTTTCCAGGGGAATAAATTTCATAATAGTCTTGAAAGATGAGGAGATAGACCTTACCCTGTGGAGAAGCGGGGGGAAAAAAGAAAGAAGAGAAGGCTTATGTAGACCAAAAGTGTTGTAAAGGCTGAGGGCCATGTCTGGGAGGAAAAACAGTATAAATGGTGAGGACAGAAACTAATTCACTCAGGAGATGGCAAGAGCTTGGTACAATTATTAGGTGGGTGAGGTATGTAAGAGTTGCTGTTGGACAAATAGGCAGAGGCCAAATCATGAAGACCTTGTCTACCGTGCTTCACACAGAGGAGTCTGGATTTTGTTCAGGAGCTATTCTAAAAATTTAAACTAAGAGTGACATGACCAGATTTGGACTTGACAAAGGTGCCTAGAAATGAATGAAGGACAGTTATAACAGTTCACCCACAGAAACATAGAGTGCATTTCTGTCGATATCAAAGGAACTTAGTGGAGAAATGACAACGACCTGGATGAAAGCCCTGGCTTGACTTGGGGACCCAGTACAGGGTCAACAAACTATGGCAGAGAGCCAAATCTACGTGCTGCTTTTTTTTTGTTAATGAAGTTTTCTTTTGACACACAGCGACATCCATTCATTTGTGTATTATCCAAGGGCTGTTCTCAAGGTATAATGGCAGAGTTGAGTAGTTGCAGCAGATTCCACATGGCCTGCCAAGCCTATAATATTTGCTATCTGGCCCTTTACAGAAAAAGTTGGCATGCTCCCAATATAGCAGTCCGTTCCTGATCCCTACCGTGTGTCAGTGCCAGCTGTGAACAAAAGGTCACTCCCCTCCTCTGGTACCCACACACAGTCCAGCAGGGAAGACAGAAGAAACAGAATCAAAGAACATGATGTGTGGTTAAATTAGAAGATGGGTGACCTGTCAGATATGGGGGGAAGGAGGGATAGGGAGGATTTTCGATGACTTCCATTTTCTGGTCTAGTGAGTGATTTTTATTAACTGTCTTTTTGTTTCAGAGAGACAAGAGATCGGTTTTTGTGGGGAATCTCCCTTATAGTAAGTTTGTTTAAACAAAGTACAGTTAATATTACTAAATAAATAACAAGGAAATAAGAACTGAGTAGTAACTTAATGTTTTGATTTAAGACTAATTTTAAAGCATGCAATGTGTTTGCCGTGGCAGCACATGTACTAAAAAGTGTGCAATATAATGGCTTATTTTCATGGGACCATGCTTAACTAGCTGTATTATTAAACAACTCCATGTTTCTGAGGGGCTCCCAACTCTTTACTTCCATTTTGATTGAATTTGTTTTCAGAAGTTGAAGAATCTGCCATTGAGAAGCACTTTCTGGACTGTGGAAGTATCATGGCCGTGAGGATTGTGAGAGACAAAATGACAGGCATCGGCAAAGGGTTTGGCTATGTGCTCTTTGAGGTATGGGAGACTAATGCATTGTCACTGTCCTTCGAAGTGCCCTGGGAGGCATTGACACTGTTGCATGTCATCATTGAGACATAACTTTCACTTCCATTCTCAAATTCCATCTTAAGAAAACTGGGCTAGGTGCAGTGACTCATGCCTGTAATCCCAGCACTTTGGGAGGCCGAGACGGGTGAATCTCTTGAGCTCAGGAGTTTGAGACCAGCCTGGCCCACATGGTAAAACCTCGTCTCTACTAAAAGTCCAAAAATTATCCAGGTGTGGTGGCAGGTGCCTATAATCCCAGCTACTCAGGAGGCTGAGGCAGGAGAATCGCTTGAACCCGGGAGGTGGAGGTTGCAGTGAGCCGAGATCGTGCCACTGCACTCCAGCCTGGGCCACAGAGCAAGACTCCATCTCAAGGGGGAAAAAAAAAAATACAAAAAATTTAAAAATTAGCCAGATGTGGTGGCTCATACCTGTAATCCCAGCTACTTGGGAGGCCGAGGAAGGAGAATCACTTGAACCTGGGAGGCAGAGGTTTCATTGAGCCGAGATCACACCACTGCACTCCAGCCTGGGTGACAGAGCAAGACTCCGTTTCAAAAAAAAAAAAACAAACCGGCCAGATGTGGTGGCTTATGCCTGTAATCCCAGCACTTTGGGAGGCCGAGGCGGGTGGATCACCTGAAGTCGGGAATTCGAGACCAGCCTGACCAACATGGAGAAACCCCATCTCTACTAAAAATACAAAATTAGCTGGGCATGGTGGCACATGCCTGTAATCCCAGCTACTTGGGAGGCTGAGGCAGGACAATCGCTTGAACCCGGGAGGCAGAGGTTGCGGTGAGCCGAGATTGCTCCATTGCACTCCAGCCTGGGCAACAAGAGCAAAACTCTGTCTCAAAAAAAAAAAAAAAACCCGAAAACGAGAACTGAATTTATAACCTGCCATAATATATTGCTACAACTGCACCTATCCAAAAGATGTCCCAGTTCTTTCTTCATACTAATTAAATGTTTTTGATCCTGGATATTAGAAGTACTAAATCACTGAATCTTCTCTACCTTCTGTATGATAGAGTAAATAATTGACATTAAGGTATAAGAAAGTTTTATTCTTTGTACAAAATTAGTTATATTTAGTTCGCTAATTTTTAACCAGTGTTTCATGCCTGACAATATTAAGGAGTAAAAGAATATACAGGCCGGGCATGTTGACGCGTGACTGTAATCCCAGCACTTTGGAGGGCTGAGGCGAGAGGATTGATTAACGTGAGGACTTCAAGTCCAGCTTGGGCAACATAGGTAGACACCGACTCTACAAAAAAATATACAAGTAAGGCTGGGTGCGGTGGCTCACGCCTGTAATCCCACCACTTTAGGAGGCCAAGGCAGGTGGATCACTTGAGCCCAGGAGTTCAAGACTAGCCTGGGCAACATGGCGAAATCCCGCCTCTACAAAAAAATACAAAAATCAGCTGGGCGTGGTGGTGCATGCCTGTAGTACCATTTACTTGAGGAGCTGAGGTAGGAGGATCACCTGAACCTTGGGAGGTCGAGGCTGCAGTGAGCCACCCAACCTGGATGGCAGAGTGAGACCCTGTTTTAAAATAAGAAAGAAAAATTAAAAAATAAAAATCTAGCTGGTCATGGTGGCCAGCGCCTGTGGTCCTATCAGGAGGCTGAGGCTGGAGGATTGCTTAAGTACGGGAGGTCAAGGCTGTAGTGAGCCATGATTGCACCACTGCACTCCAGCCGAACTGACAGAGTGAGACCCTATCTCAAAACAAAAAAATAATCTATTGTCATCCCTTGATATCCACGGTGTATTGGTTCCAGGATCCCTCTCACATAGCAAACAGTATATATATATCTGCAGATGCTGAAGTCCCTTATATAAAATGGCACATTTGCATGAATGTATATTGTTATATATAATAAATTTTTTTATTGTCATATTATTTGTTGTTTTCAAGTATTTTCTATCTGCAGTTGATTGAATCCTCTGATACTGAACTCACGGATTTGGGGAGCTGACTGTACATACTATGTGATGTCATAAATTTTTCTTCTCTCAGTAACAACCCATTACTACATTTCCTTTCAGTTTTTCCTTGTGCTGCCATTTTTATAGTTGAACTTGTCTCTGTGAACTTAAATTATATTTACATCTTATTTTATGTTGTTTTCTGTTATGTAAGCATGTTCCATTGAGTGATATAACAGAGTTTATACTGTCATTTCTCTCATGTTGGACCTTGGTAGAATTCTCTGTTTTTCCCTGTAATAATGAAATTGCAGTGGTTATGTGTTTTTTGTTTTTGAGACAGAGTCTCACTCTGTTGCTCAGGCTGGAGTGCTTTGGCACGATCTCAGCTCACTGCAGCCTCTGCCTCCCAGGCTCTAGCGATCCTCCCATCTCAGCTTCCTGAGTAGCTAGGACTACAGGTGTGTGCCACATGTCTGGCTAATTCTTGTATTTTTTTGTAGAGACAGGATTCACCATGTTTCTCAGGCTGGTCTCCAACTTCTGAGCTCAAGTGATCTATCCGCCTTGGCCTCCCAGAGTGCTAGGATTATAGGTGTGAGCTACCCCGCCTGGCCTGGTTATGTTTTTTTCCCCAAAAGTTTGGATTGTAGATTACTTAAGATAGATCCCCATTAGGATATACTAGGTTAAGATGTGTTACCATTTTGAAGACTCTTGATGAGAATTGCCTGGTAGCTTTTTTAGAAAGATTGTCACAGCGTTTGTTGCCATTGTTACTGTATTGTAGTTACCTTTCTGCTTGTCTGCTCCCTTTCTTCTATTACTTGATAAGCTTCTAAAGTCCTTTAACAAACATCTCATGGATATTCAGGGTTGTTAGCATTAATGGCTCTATATTGGAACAGAAGTATAACAGAATTTTGGATCTAAATGGAACCCTAGAGGGTGTCTAGTCCAACATCTCGTAATGGAGCGTTCCCTGCCCTCTGGTCAGCTAATACAATGGGGCTTTGACAGAAAGATGGCTATACGAAGGAGGTTTATTCGTTTAAAATATTGCATATGGGGGCCAGGCGCGGTGGCTCATGCCTGTAATCCCAGCACTTTGGGAGGGCAAGGTGGGCAGATTACAAGGTCAAGAGATCGAGACCATTCTGGCTAACGTGGTGAAACCCTGTCTCTACTAAAAATACAAAAATTAGCTGGGTATGTTGGCCCGCGCCTGTAATCCCAGCTACTTGAGAGGTTGAGGCAAGAGAATCGCTTGAACTCAGGAGGTAGAGGTCACAGTGAGCCGAGATCGTGCCACTGCACTCCAGCCTGGCAACAGAGCGAGATTCCGTCTCAAAAAAAGAAAAAAGAAAAAAAGCCAATATTGCATATGACTAATCTAGTCTAGAACCTCATTTTACAATGAAAAAAAAAAACCACGAAGCCTGTAGCATTGTGACTTAGCTGAACATTTCACAAGGCAGCTTGAGTGCTTTCTGAGGAAACACTGGTGACGAGCATGGTGATGAGGAGACTTCGAGTGCAGCAGCTGATACACCTGGGATTGGATGGGGCTTATCTGTGCAAGCTTGAAAGTCGTTCTCATCTGTTAAAGTGACACTTTCACTAGTTTCTTTGCAGATGGGTTTCTGGTAGCAATTAATGTATTGTGTTTTCTTTTGCAGAATACAGATTCTGTTCATCTTGCTCTGAAATTAAATAATTCTGAACTCATGGGGAGAAAACTCAGAGTCATGCGTTCTGTTAATAAAGAAAAATTTAAACAACAAAATTCAAATCCACGATTGAAGAATGTCAGTAAACCTAAGCAGGGACTTAATTTTACTTCCAAAACTGCAGAAGGACATCCTAAAAGCTTATTTATTGGAGAAAAAGCTGTTCTCCTTAAAACGAAGAAGAAAGGACAGAAGAAAAGTGGACGCCCTAAGAAACAGAGAAAACAGAAATAACAACCAGGAACTGCTTTTTCTTTTCCTGCTGAGTACTGCTAATAAAAGTGCTATTATCTGCTGATAGCATCGTCTGCTATTCATGTGTTGAGTTTTATACTTCTTTATGGATGGTGTATGTGAAATGTGGAGACTTCCACATTCTCAGTTTATTCACATTGTGATACTACCTTTGAAGGTTTTTTTGTTTTTGTTTTGTTTTTTGAGATGGAGTTTGGCTGTTGTCTCCCAGGCTGGAGTGCAGTGGCGTGATCTTGGCTCACTGCAACCTCTGCCTTCTGGGTTCAAGCGCTTCTCCTGCCTCAGCCTCCCAAGTAGCTGGGATTACAGGCGCCTGCCACCACGCCTGGCTAATTTTTTGTATTTTTAGTAGAGACGGGGTTTCACCATGTTGGCCAGGCTGGTCTCGAACTCCTGACCTCAGGTGATCCACCTGCCTTGGCCTCTCAAAGTGCTGGGATTACAGGCGTGAGTCACTGCACCCAAGCCTCCTTTCTCTTTTGCCTATTAAACCTCTGCTCTTAACCTTACTCCGTGTGTGCTCAAGTTCTTGATTTCCTTGGCATGAAGCAATGAACCTTGGGTATTACCCCAAACGATGTCGCTTCAGTATCTCACTTTGTTGCCCAGGCTGCTCTCAAACTGCTGGACTCAAGTGATCCTCCCACCTTGGCCTCCCAAAGTGCTAGGATTACAGGAGTGAATCACTCATCAATTCCAAGGGGCTAGAACTCCCAGGAACTGGGGACAAAGGCCAGCCAAATTCTTTATTATGCAACCTCGTGTTACTGGAAAAGGATCCAGATCCAGACCCCAACAAAGGGTTCTTGGATCTTGCCTAAGAAAGAATTTGGGGCCAGTCCACAGAGTAAAGTGAAAACAAGTTTATTAAGAAAATAAAGAAGATCACTCACGGTGGCTCATGCCTGTAATCCCAGCACTTCGGGAGGCCGAGGTGGGTGGATCACCAGATGTCAGGAGTTTGAGACTAGCCTGGCCAACATGGTGAAACCCCATCTCTACTAAAAATACAAAAATTTGCTGGGTGTGGTGGCACATGCCTGTAATCCGAGCTACTGGGGAGGCTGAGGCAGGAGAATCGCTTGAACCCAGGAGGTGGAGGTTATAGTGAGCCAAGATCATGCCACTGCACTCCAGCCTGGGTGACAGCAAGACTGTCTCAAAAAAAAAAAAAAAAAAAAAAAAAAGTGAAAGGTTACTTTGTAGAATGGTGCATACCCTAAAGCAAGAGAAGGAACATGTCCACCTTAGGTACAAGGCTTGTTTGTATTGAACAGCAAAAAAATGAGGAAGATGAGCTCTACTCCAAGAGCTTGTGACAAAGGATTTTTTGTGTGTTTGTTTTGAGACGAGGTCTTACCCTGTCACCCAGTTTGGACTGCAGTGGTACAATCATAACTCAACTGCAGCCTCAACCTCCTGGGATTAAGGGATACTTCCGCATCATTCCCCATGTAGTTGGGACCACAGGTGTGTGCCACCACGCCTGGCTAAGTTTTTAATTTTTTTGTGGAGACAGGGTCTCACCATGTTGCCCAGGCTGGTGTTGAACTCTTGGGCTCAAGCTATCCGCCCATCTGGGCCTCCCAAAGTGCTGGGATTACAGGTGTGAGACACTGCCTGGTCTTTGTCAAAGGACTGTTAATCCTGTGTAACTACTGTCTTCTGCAAGGATCAATATTATCTTTAAAGGGAAAATTAAACTAAGAATGCTTTTGTTCTTAAGATATCAGGACATCAGGACATTTCCTGGGTCTGTTAGGTAAACATTATTAACTTGTTCCCTTCCCTGTAAATATCCTGTGACCAAGAATGCCAAACTTCCTGGGAATGTGCCCCAATAGGTCTCAGCCTCATTTTACCCAGCCCCTATTCAAGGTAAGGTAGCTCTGGTTCCAATGTCTCTTGACACTGATGCTTGACTTCGATACCCCTCAACTTACAGTGTCTGTTTAATGCCTGCTTTCTGCCCACGATTTTCCTTGTCAATATCTTAAGTTAGATCATATATATATATATTTTGTTTTTTTGAGACGGACTCCTGATCTGTCACTCAGGCTGGAGTGCAGTGGCTCGATCTTGGCTCACTGCAACCTCTGCCTCCTGGTTCAAGCGATTCTCCCGCCTCAGCCTCCAGAGTAGCTGGGATTACAGGCCCCGGCCACCATGGCCAGCTAATTTTTGTATTTTTAGTAGAGACAGGGTTTCACTATGTTGGCCAGGCTGGTCTCAAACTCCTGGCCTTAAGTGATCCGCCTGCCTCGGCCTCCCAAAGTGTTGAGATTACAGGCGTGAGCCACCGCGCCTGGCCTGATCATGTGTATGTTTTCGTGTGGCTATAAAACAATTCACGTTTTCTATTTTTTCTTCAATTGTGTATATTTTTCAAGAAATTACTCCATTTAATTTTATTCCAGTTATCATAAAATGAGGCTATCCTGTAACATTCTTTTGAAATGGAACCACTACGCACAATGGATTGTGGCAACCTGAAAAGAAAGTACAGTTTAATTCAAACAAGTCACAGGCTGCCTGTGTTAGACAAGATGAAGCATTCGCAGTCTGGGACCCTGCATCTCTGTCTGCCACAAACAAGGCTGTCAGCTAGTCTTCTGAGTACGTGCACGCCAGTAACGCGTACGCCTCGTTACAGCATGGTCGGCGGATATGAAAAAAAGTCCGTGGTCACGTGCAAATTCCCGACTCCAGTGCGTACACCCAGCGGCGCAGGGGAAACGCCGGCTTCGCCCACTGCGCAGGCGCAGGAGCCGCGCTCTGGGCCTCTGCTCAGGCTCTGCCGCGGACGACCTCGAGGCCCTTAGTTGACTGGGACCGGAAGTGGCGTGTGCTCGGCCTTTCTGTGTTCCTGGCCCGCGGCCGTCGGGTGTGAGCTGCGCCGACCGCTCTGAGGGTTCGTGGCCCACCGCTCCTTCGCGGTCCCTGCCGCCACCGTCCACGCTCAGCGTTGTAGAGAAGATGGTGGGTCGGAACAGCGCCATCGCCGCCGGTGTATGCGGGGCCCTTTTCATTGGGTACTGCATCTACTTCGACCGCAAAAGACGAAGTGACCCCAACTTCAAGAACAGGCTTCGAGAACGTGAGTGGGTCCTCTCTCCCCTGGCCAGGCTTGCTGCCTTCGGCCGCCGCCCTTCACAGGAGGGGTCATTGCCTCCCACCAGCCTGTGGGCCGCGCAGGGCGACCGCGTGGTGCGGCCCTCAATAGGCGATGGCGCTGGCTGCGCCGCTCCGGGGGCTCTAGTGCCCCGTAGGAATTCCATTTTGGAGGAAGGATTTTTCCCGTTTTGTTTTCCCCAGACACTTTAGCCGTGCAAATGCACTCTTGATTTCTGTTGCAATCTCGGGTGTGTGTGGCCTGGGGAGGAGGTTGTCTCTTTTTTTGTCGTTCATCTTTTTAAACCTCTACTCTTAACTAAAAAGTCGTGCATTTTTGTCGCAAATTTTAGTCTGAGGCTAAATCCGCATGCTCAGTGCAGTATCATTGTTGCATTCTTTTTTTTGAGACGGAATCTCGCTCTGTCGCCCAGGCTGTAGTGCAGTGGCGCGATCTCGGCTCACTGCAACCTCCGCCTCCCGAGTTCAAGCGCTTCTCCTGCCTCAGTCTCCCCAGTAGCTGGGATTACAGTCGGGCGTCACCACGCCCGGTGATTTTTTGTGTTTAGTAGAGACGGGGTTTCACCGTGTTGGTCAGGCTAGTCTCGAACTCCTGACCTCAGATGATCCGCCTGGCTCATTGCTGCATTCTTAAACCCTCTTGGTAGCTTCGTTCTAAGTGCTTCCAAGATATGAGTGAATGCTATAGAAATTGCAGGGGAGTCCAAAGGGCTGCGCTTCTCCCGTGGCTCAGTCTTATTTCATACCTGCGACATCTTTTAAGAGAGGTCTACCAGAGGGGAATCGTGTCATGAAAACCGTTGTGATCCACCTTGAATTTTCGGAGAATCTTCATTCGCATCATTGAAGAGCAAATTTGTTGCAATAAGAAATATTTTTTGGCTTATCTTGGTTGTTCAGCCAAATTAGTTTTTGGAATTAAAATTGATACGTAAGTTACTAAAGCCCAAGGGGTACAAAGAAGGGATTATTGTTTACTTAAGTAACAGTGGTTACGGTTTAATTCAGCTATACTAAGTCATTTCAAGTGTTCAGTAGCCCTGTGTGAGCAGTGACTGCAGCGCTGATCTTACTAGCACTAAGAATCAGACATCTAGTTCCAGCTTTCTTATGTTTTAGGAGGGAAGGGATATAGACATAATTTGATTTATGACTAGGCAGACTAATAGAATACTGTTTTACATTCAGACCTTGAATTTCTAGGGCCAGGTTAGCGGCATAATTTGGGGTTTCTGAATCCTAATTTCTGTAGTTGTAAAATCAGGTAATGCCACCTACCTCTTGTTGATCTTGTGAAGGTTGAGATGTTTGAATTGCCTTCCACGTTTTCTGACATAGGAAATGCTCCTCCATAAATGCTGGTGGTCATTCTGCCTTCGGGTTATTGTCCTGTAGTTGCCAAAATGGGTGACAGCTGGGGGCTTTGGTACAAATGCAGAGTTATAAAGAATGGATTAACCCTATCTTCCGTTGGAAACCCTGAAGTCCTGTTGCAGAAACAAGAGCTATCATTTTAGACAAATGGAGGAATGTTATTTCAAAATAACTTCTCCATCATTTTCAATCTAAAATTGTTTTTTCTGGATTTAGCGGCAACCTAATGATTACAGTGAATTACTTAGCTGCAGCAGTAACTTTAGGCAAGTAACTTCAAGCTTTAGTTTTCCCTTTTTGTAAAATGGTATAGTGTAGAGTTTTAGTCCTGTTCCTCACACATGGTAATTGATGAATGCTAGAGATTTTTTGTTGTTGTTGTTTGTTTGTTTGAGTCTCGCTCTGTCGCCCAGGCTCGAGTGCAGTGGGGTGATCTCGGATCATTGCAACCTCCGCCTCCCGGGTTCAAGCAATTCTGCCTCAGCCTCCTGAGTAGCTGGGATTACAGGCGCACACCACCATGCCAGGCTAATTTTTGTATTTTTAGTAGAGACAGGGTTTCACCATATTGGCCAGGTTGGTCTCGAACTCCTGACTTCATGATCTGCCCGTCTCAGCCTCCCAAAGTGCTGGGATTACAGGCGTGAGCCACCGCGTCCGGATGAGATATTTTTATGAGTAGAAATATTTTGTTGTTTGATGTTTTTGTAAAATTTATTTAGAATAATCTTGCAGTCTGTTCACAGGTAATTGAGGCTGGGTGTGGTGGCTCAACGCTAGTAATCTCAGCACTTTGGGAGGCCGAGGTGGGCGGATCACCTCATGTCAGGAGTTCAAGCAGCCTGGCCAGCATGGTGAAACCCCCACTCTGCTAAAAATACAAAAATTAGCCGGGTGTGGTGGTGCACGCCGGTAGTCCCAGCTGCTTGGGAGGCTGAGGCAGAATTGCTGGAATGTGGAAGGTGGAGGTTGCAGTGAGCAGAGACTGCACCACTGCACTCCATCCTGGGGGGACAGAGCAAGACTCTGTCTCCAAAATATACGTGTGTGTGTGTGTGTGTCTTTATATATATTTATATCTATATCTATCTATCTTTATCTATCTATCTATCTATCTAATCTAATCTATCGACCAGGCGCAGTGACTCACGCCTGTAATCCCAGCACTTTGGGAGGCCAAGGTGGGAAGATCATGAGGTCAGGAGATCGAGACCAGCCTGGTCAACATGGTGAAACCCCGTCTCTACTAAAAATACAAAAAAAAAAAAATTAGCTGGGCGTGGTGGCACGCACCTGTAGTCCCAGCTACTTGGGAGACTGAGGTAGGAAGATCGCTTGAACCTGGGATGCTGAGGTTGCAGTGAGCCGAGATGGCGCCACTGCACTCCAGCCTGGGGACAGAGCGGGGACAGAGCGAGACTCGGTCTCAAAAAAAAAAAAAAAGTGCAGTTGCGTGACTGGCTGATTTTAAAAAGTTTAGGGGTATTTTGCCTTTGTGGAATGAAATTCTGTTCAGTTAATTTTGAGTTTTTAAAATTAATTTTTTTTAAATTTTGAGTTCTTCTAGTCTTATTTCCAATAGAATATTTACATCTGCAATAAAAGAGCAGTTTTTCACATAAGGCATGTAGCTCATTGGCTTTCTTTTTTGTTAAGAAGAGAGACTTAGGCGGCCGGGCGTGGTGGCTCAGGCCTGTAAACCCAGCACTTTGGGAGGCCGAGGCGGGCGGATCACAAGGTCAGGAGATCGAGACCATCCTGGCTAACATGGTGAAACCCCGTCTTTACTAAAAAATAGAAAAACTTAGCCGGGCATGGTGGCGGGTGCCTGTAGTCCCACCTACTGGGGAGGCTGAGGCAGGAGAATGGCGTGAACTCGGGAGGCGGAGCTTACAGTGAGCCGAGATGACGCTGCTGCACTCCCGCCTGGGCGACAAAGCGAGACTCCGTCTCAAAAAGAAAAAAAATAAAAAATAAAAGAAGAGAGCCTTATATTGTTTAAAATGAGGCTTGAGGTTAAATTTGGGATCCTAATTTATTTAGACTTTTTGTCACCTGTTAGCAAAAGCAGAGTATCAGGATCCTTGAGGTGTAGTTTTTATCATTCTAAATTATGAGTAAATGAAATGTAATTTGCCAAATTACAATGCCAGCTGCAGGTGCATTTCACTTATATGGGACGGATAAAATGACACATTAAAAATATATTAAGCATCTTATTTAAATGAATAAATCTTGGAAACATTGAGTCAAGGCTTGATTTTGCTCATTGTTAAATTTCTTCATGGTTTTTCAGTTGATTACCATCTGTCCCTTTATCACAGAAATACTGCATTATACTATATCTGAAAATATGTTAATGTAATAAGTTAATTGTATTATGAAACTAAAGCCAGAATTTTAATCTTATTGCTAAAAATGTAAAGCAACTAAGTGATCTTAAAATTTGGTAGCTGTATCAGTTAAATGTATTCAGTGGCAATCACACACTCCTCCCCACCTTATTAAAAAAACTTATGACTCAGTTTCACTTTCCTGGGTTTCATTATCAGTTTTGTCATTTTCCCTAAATTCTGGTTTAGCAAATTGTATGTCTCACATACAGTTGATCCCACAAACTTGGCATGTTCATTTCTGAGGTGCCTTTTGTTTTGATGGTAATAACATCTTTACTTCTCCACACTATTAACTATAGAGGCAGAAGAGAGTCATGTTTCAAGTCCAAAAGCCTGGGTTTGAGTTGCCATTCCACCAGTAAGTAATTGTGACCTTGGTACATTTTCTCATCTGGAAAATGGGGATGATAATAGTACCTGGATTTTGTTTTTTGTTTTTGTTTGAGACGGAGTCTCACTCTGTGGCCCAGGCTGGAGCGCAGTGGCGCTATCTCAGCTTACTGCAACCTCAAACTCCCAGGTTCAAGTGATCCTCTTGCTACAGCCTCTCGAGTAGCTAGGACTACAGGCGCCTGCCACCATACCTGGCTAATTTTTTGTATTTTAGTAAAGACGGGGTTTCACCGTATCAACCAGGCTGGTCTTGAACTCCTGACCTCCAGTGATCCGCCCGCCTTGGCCTCCCAAAGTGCTGGGATTACAGGCGTGAGCCACTGTGCCCAGCTGTAATTCTTTTAATGTTGTTGTGAGGATTAAATAAGCTAATAAACATTTAGAACAGTGTCTCGCATGTAGCATCTAAAACTTAGTGCTCACATCCAAGCGTTCCTTGTCTTCATGTCCAGATCCTTTGAAGTCTTCCATTTCTTTTCTAGTTTTGCTACGCTCCCTCCAGTACAGGTTCCAGTGTAGACCACGATATTTAGCAATTAGATATTGTTGTCTGTTATCACTCATTATTTTCTGCCTTAAGAGAACAAAAACCCATAAGCAAATGGAGGGTTGAATTATGTTCTTTATCCTTTTTCCCCACAGTTAGTTGTGCGGTGATGAACACTTAAGTAAGGTACTTAGAAAAATTAGCAGCCTTCAGATTAATACATAAGATCAACTTTAATGCATACTTTTTCTGTTGAAATGGCTAGAATTGTATTTAAGCCTTACAGTGGTAGCACTCTATTATGGGAGACGAGTGGGTATCTGATGCTGGTGTGATGAAATCCAGTTTATGAGGGTTGACTAAGAAAAGGTACCTTGACCATAGTAAATGAACC